>NC_000002.12:52917625-53220655 GCF_000001405.40 Homo sapiens | reverse complement strand
CTCTCCCACATTGTCTTGCTAAATATAGACTTGGTAAATAAAATGTTGATTGAAGTCTGGGAAAAAAATTAGGGACCCAGTATCCATACAAAAATACCCAAAGAAATAACAGATGAATAAGAATAAAAGCTATCTGGTGTATTAAAACATTTAATGTAAAAATTATAGCCATAAAACTGTAAAACGATACTTCAAAATGAATTTAAAACAGTATAAAGAGAAATCACAGTTACAAAAGAGTATCATGAATTAGAAATTTAAGACAAAGGATACAAAAAGAAAAGCAATATAAAACTAGGTAATTAACAGAATGCAGGAAGGAAATGAAGAACATGTTAAAATCATCTGAGAAATTTGAAATAAATTACAAATTTATGTATCTGGTACATTGTCATGGTACAAATAAATATACATTTATGTATTTGGTTGTTTTAGCTGCTCAGGCTTCCCAGGTTGCATAACAGTGTACCAGAGACTATGGTTTAAACAACAAAAATATGTTTTATCACCATTCTGGAGGCTGGAAAATCCAGGGTCAGGGGCCAGCAGGGTCTGGTTTCTGATGAGGGCTCTTTTCCTGGCTTGCAGACATTGTGTACTCATATGGCCTTTGCTCAGTGCATGCATTTGAAGAAACTCTCTCCTTAATTTTCTCTTCTTATAAGGTCACTAGTCCTGTGGGATCAGGACCCCACCCTTGTGACTTCATTTAGTGTTTGTTACTTCTTAAAGACCCAATCTTCAAATGCAGTCTACATTGGGGGCTTCAACATATAAATTTTAGGGGAGAGAGAGAGAGATACATAATTTAGTCCATAGCAGTGGCCAGAGGAAACTATACATAAGTATAAGTTGCTGCAGGGGCCATGGAGGATAGAAATGGGAAAAGCCAAGAGAAGAAAACAAATGATGAGAGTAAAAATAAATGAAGAGATTTTAGAAGATAAACACAGAAGATACAAATACATATTTTGGTGTCCCAGGAGAAGAAAAGCAAAAAATGAGACAAAATTAAGTGAAGCTTAGAACTATTCTCAAAAAAATCTATTGAAATGAAGGCCTGAAACTATACATTATAAGGTTCATTTTTCACCGATAAAAATTGACCCAGGATTATAATCTCTAAAACATAGCAAAGAAAGACTAAGTTATTTACAAAAAAAAAAAAAAGCAGATGGGTTGACATTAGTTTTCTTAACAGAAACATTCAACATAAGAAAATAAAGGAGTGCCATTTTTTAAGATACTCAGGAACAGAAAGGGAGTGAAGAATGTCATTCTATTCAAATTGTCACTCAAGTCAAGTCTATCAAATAACTATGGAACATGCAAAAACTTAGGGAATCTTGTACCTAGAAGCCCTTCTTAAGGAAACTACTAGAATATGAGCTTTATAAAAAATAAAGATAGTGGATACTTAGACAGAGGTATTGGTAGTGCATATTTTATATATTTAATCCTAAATTGCAGGTGTAAAACAAATTTGCAGACAAGGGAAAAAGGAGAGTTTGTTGTTTTATGCTATACCAAGGTAAAAATAACAAAACTAAATCATGGTGGGGGAAGTGGGAAAGAATGGAGATAAATGGTGTCATTGGATATTACTATAATCCGTTTAAAATAGATTTTGTTGCAGCTTACAATGGTGACACAATATGCATTGTCTAAAAGAAAAGGGAAAACTAAAGGTTGTTACCAAAAGTATTAATGAAAAAGTAATGAACAGAACAAAACTTCAACCTCTTTGATACCAATAGAACACAAAAACAAAACAAAACAGAATAAAGAAAACAGACCACTGAGTGAAAGACTACATGAATATGTATAAGAAATAAAATATGCATAATTATTTGCATTTTATATAACAAGAACTAGAAAAATAAACTAGAAATTAATAGACATGATTACTTATAAAGAATGGTAGGAATGGGGTTGAAGTAATAGGGTTGGAATTGTAACTTCTCTAATTATGTTTTTATTATAGTTTTGACTTTTGAAACATGTTTTACATGTTCAAAAGTAAAAGTAAATAAAACAAACCCTAGACTACAAACGAATAAGAATGTATTGATAATATAGCGATGCAGAGAAAAGAATGATTTCAAGTGACTTTTAAACAGTATTCTCTATATATGTAGTAGCATATAGTTGAAGGGTCCAAAGAGCTAGAAAGAACTCTTAAACATCATGCAGTAATGTTAGTAGTAATAATATTGGCATTGCTAATTTGTGTTTTTTGTATACTGTAGAAAAATCTAATAAATTATCAGTGTATGGGGAAAAGAATGCAGATATTAAATAAATGAAAATCCTGAAATGTTAAATTTGCTTTGGAAATCTAAATATTCATGATTCTATATGTCTTATTATTTTTCAAAGGAAAGACACAGAAGATATAGCACTTTCTTAGGAATCACCCTTCCACTGCCCAAATTTTGCCTTCTGAGTACCATTCTTCACCAAAAGGAATCAAGAGTACTTGGGGAAATGGCTGATTGCAGTTTTGGGGCAATGAAAATACCAGGTGAACTTAGGTTGCCTTGTTGTGCCAGAAAGTAAGGAAACACTCATAGACCCTAATGGGGTCGAGTTGAACAGTTGGGCAAGCTTTAAGACGTTCTCATTGGTCAGACTTGGGACATTTTGAGCATCCAAAAGAATAATGACTAAAATTGATTGTAACCTATGTAGTATATAAATATCCAAGAGTCCACAGTAATACAAAAATAGAGAAAGTTTAAAAAATAAATTATTTGGGGGCAGGTTCAAGATGGCCATCTAGAAGCAGTGGTGATTGGAGGCTCCCATTGAAAAGAACCACAACAGCGTGTGAATCCTGCACTGGCAATCAAGTATCTGGGTTCTGTCATCAGAACTGAGTAGGCAGCTGGCATGACCCACAGAAAGGAAGGAAGAGCAGTATAGGGCAGTGGCCCACCTGAGAGCCACATGGGGCAGTGGAGCCCTCACCCCACAACCAAGGGAGGTGGTCAGTGAGTGTGCTACCCAGCCTGGGAAATGGTGCTTCTTTCTATGGAACTGTGTAACCCATGAATTGAAAGATCCCACTAGTGGGCCCACATCACCAGGGCCTAGGGTCCCAATCGTGGAGCTATGCAGATTCTCAACAGCCACTTGGCTAGAATCTGCCTAACCCTGCCAAGTTCCTGGGAGGAGGGGCAGCCAACCACCACAGCTGCAGCTGCCTACTGTCTAAGCCATCTGAGCTCCTTAGGGGAGTGGCAGCAGCAAACACTAGGGTTGCTAGCTGCCTAACACACTAAGCTACCAGGTGGGGAGGAGGGCAGCATCCATCTCTATACCTCTAGGCCACGCTTTCCCCTGCTGAAGCCAGGGAGACTAAATGGCTTAGTCCCAAGAGGTATTCCACACAGTCCAACACTGGCTGTGGCAGACTGCAGCCAGGGTACCTCTTCAAGCTGAACCCTGACCCATTCCTTCTCACTGGGTGGGGCTTCCCTGTAGGAATTCCAACAACTCCAGCCAGGGGCTCAGGGATAGAACTCTGATCTCCCTGGGCCTGGGCCCCTAAGGGGAGGGGTGCCTGTAGACTCCACTGACTGCAGACTTAGTCTTTCCTCTTGCTAGCTCTGAAGAATTCATGAAGCCCAGACAAGTGGGTTTTCCCCTAGTGCAGCACACCCCCTTCACCAAGGGACAGCCAAAGAGCTTCATTAAACTGGTCCTGCTTCCTGTGTCACCCAACTGGGTGAGACCTCCCCAACAGGGGTTGTCAGACACCTTATACAGGAGCATTCCTATTGGCATCAGGTCAGTGCCCCTCAAGGTCAGAGATCCCAGAAGAAGGAACAGGCACCCATCTTTGCTGTTCTCCAGCCTCCTCAAGTGGCATCTCCAGGCATGGGGGTGAACCAGATGAATAGAGCCTGAAGTGAACCCCCAGCAAACCACAGCAGCCCTACAGAAGACAGACCTGACTATTCAAAAAACAAACGAACAAACAGAAAGCAACAAAATCAGCATCAAAAAAAGTCCCCACAAAAACCTCACTGAAGGGTCAGATTGAAACTAGACAAACTCATGAAGATGAGAAAGAATCAACAAAATCCACTGAAACTCCAAAAGGCCAGAGTGCCTCTTCTTCTCCAAATCATTGCAACACTTTTCCAGCAAGGGTGCAGAATGGGATGGAGGATGAGATGGATGAATTGACAGAAATAGGCTTCAGGAGGTGGGTAATAGCAAACTCCACCGAGGTAAAGGAGCATGTTCTGACCCAATGCAAAGAAGCTAAGAACCTTGATAAAAGGTTACAAGAGCTGCTAACTAGAATAACCAGTTTAGAGAGGAACATAAATGACCTTATGAGCTGTAAAACACAGCACAAGAACTTCATGAAGCATGCACAACTATCAATAGCTGAATAGATCAAGTGGAAGAAAGAATATCAGAGATTGAAGACCATCTTGCTAAAATAAGGTATGCAGATAAGATTAAAGGGAATGAAAAAGAATGGACAAAACCTCTGAGAAATATGGGACTGTGTAAAAATATTGAACTTATGATTGATTAGAGTACCTGAAAGAGATGGGGAGAATGAAACCAAGCTGGAAAACACACTTAAGGATATTATCCAGGAGAACTACCCCAACCTAGCAAGACAGGCCAACATTCAAATTCAGGAAACGCAGAGAACACCAGTAAGATACTCCACAAGAAGGTCAACCCCAAGACACATGATCATCAGATTCTCCAAGGTCAGTATGAAGGAAAAAATGTTAAGGGCAGCCAGAGAGTAAGGCCATGTCACCTACAAAGGGAAGCCCATCAGACTAACAGCAGATCACTCAGCAGAAACCCTACAAGCCAGAAGAGACTGGGGGCCAATATTCAACATTCTTAAAGAAAAGAATTTTCAACCCAGTATTTCATATCCAGCCAAACTAAGCTTCATAAGTGAAGGAGAAATAAAATCCTTTCCAGACAAGCAAATGCTGAGGGATGTCATCACCACCAGGCCTGCCTTGCAAGAGCTACTGCAAGAAGCACTAAATATGGAAAGGAAAAACTGGTACCAGCCACTGCAAAAAACAGACTGGAATATAAAGACCAGTGACACTGTGAAGAAACTTCATCAACTAACATGCAAAATAACCAGCTAGCATCATGATGAGAGGATCAAATTCACACATAACAATATTAACCTTAAATGTAAATAGGCTAAATGCCCCAATTAAAAGACACAGACTGGCAAATCGGATAGAGTCAAGACCCACTGGTGTGCTGTATTCAAGAGACCCATCTCACGTGCAAAGATATAGGCTCAAAGGGATGGAAGAAAATTTACCAAGAAAATGGAAAGCAAAAAAAAGCAGGGGTTGCAATCCTAGTCTCTGATAAAACAGACTTTAAACCAACAAAGATAAAAAAAGACAAAGAAGAGCGTTACACAATGGTAAAGGGATCGATTCAACAAGAACTAACTATCCTAAATAGATATGCACCCAATACAGGAGCACTCAGATTCATAAAACAAGTTCTTAGAGACCTACAAAGAGACTTAGACTCCCACACAATAGTAGTGGGACTCCCACACAGTAGTAGTGGGAGACTTTAATACCCCATTGTCAATATTAGACAGATCAATGAGAGAGAAAATTAACAAGGATATTCAGAACTTGAACTCAGCTCTGGATCAAGTATACCTAATAGATACCTACAAAACTCCCCACCCCAAAACACAAAATATATATTCTTCTCAGTGCCACATGGCACTTATTCTAAAATTGACCACATAATTGGAAGTAAAACACTCTTCATCAAATACAAAAGAACGGAAATCATAACAAACAGTCTCTCAGATCACAGTGCAATCAAATTAGAACTCAGGATTAAGAAGCTCAGTCAAAACCACACAACTACGTGGAAAATTGAACAATCTGCTCCTAAATGACTTCTGGGTAAATAATGAAATTAAGGCAGAAATCAAGAAGTTCTTTCAAACCAATGAGAACAAAGACACAATGTACCAGAATCTCTGGGATGCAGCTAAAGCAGTGTTAAGAGGGAAGTATATAGCACTGATGCCCACATCAGAAAGCTAGAAAGATCTAAAATTGACACCCTAACATCACAATTAAAAGAACGAGAGAAGCAAGAGCAAACAAATCTGAAAGCTAGCAGAATACAAGAAATAACTAAGATCAGAGCAGAGCTGAAGGAGATAGAGACACAAAACCTCTTCAAAAAATCAGTGAATCCAGGAGCTGTTTGTTTGAAAAAATTAACAAAATAGACCACTAGCTAAGAAGAAAAGAGAGAAGAATCAAATAGACACAATAAAAAATGATAAAGTGGACACTTCTCAAAAGAAGACATTTATGTAGTCAACAAACATGAGAAAAATCTCAACATCACTGATCATTAGAGAAATGCAAATCAAAACCACAATGAGATACCGTCTCACACCAGTCAGAATGGTGATTATCAAAAAGTCAAGAAACAATAGATGCTGGTGAGACTGTGGAGAAATAGGAACACATTAACACTGTTGGTGGGAATGTAAATTAGTTCAACCATTGTGGAAGACAGTGTGGCGATTCCTCAGGGGTCTAGAACCAGAAATACCATTTGATCCAGCAATCCCATTACTGGGTATATACCCAAAGGAATATAAATCATTCTACTATAAAGATACATGCACACGTATGTTTATTGTAGCACTATTTACAATGGCAAAGACATGGAACCAACCCAAATTCCCATCAATGATAGACTGGGTAAAGAAAATGTGGTACAGATATGCCATGGAATACTATGCAGCCATGAAAAGGAATGAGATCATGTCCTTTGCAGGGACATGGACGAAACTGGATGCCATCATCCTCAGTGAACTAACACAGGAACAGAAAACCATACACCATGTGTTCTCACTCATAAGTGTGAGTTGAACAATGAGAATACATGGACACAGGGAGGGGAACAACAGACCCTGTGGCCTCTTGGGGGGTGCAAGGGGAAGGAGTGCATCAGGACAAATAGGTAATGCATGCGGGGCTTAAAACCTAGGTGACAGGTTGATAGGTACAGCAAACCAACATGGCACACACATACCTATATAGCAAACTTGCATGTTGTGCTCGTGCACCACAGAACTTCAAGTAAAATAAAAATTTTAAAATTGTTTGCCACCATTGAAAATGACTATTAAGTCAACTTACCCTAAAAATTGGCAGTCGAAGAGAAAGAATTATACATGTAGTCTGCTTGTTAGTGGGAAAAATAGTTCTGGCAAACCAAATAGCCCAATTCATGAGGGAAAGTTTTCTCTACATATGAATGTTAGCTAATAAATACAGAGGAATGGTAGAATTTTAAAAATACACACAAATAAAATCTAATTATTTATATGTATTTGTGCCTGTGTATATTTCCTATTGTTAGAAAAATATAGGAAATATATAAATATATATAAAATTTCCTTTATATTCCTACATATAGGAAATTCATATATGTATAGTAAATATATATAATTCCTTCATATATAATCCTTTCGTATATAGTTACTGCAAGAAAGAAGTCTTTTATTTAACAGTCATTTAAGGACTTAATATGTGTGTTTCATAAATGCTGAATGTTTAATATTTGTATTATTTTTTCAAGCTAGATCATTTTAAGTAAGAGTTATGAATGCCATTAAATCATAATTCAGAACTGGAAGGACCCAAAGAAGTCATTTGGTTGACTCCCTTCTCTGTGTGCCATCTCATTTTATAAATAGGAATCACTTCATACACATTTATAACATGAATGCTTTTTGGCCCATCAGTAGCTAAGGAAGGAAAAATTCACAAACATCTAAAAAGCTAAACAATTATTCTAATATATGAAAGTTCAGCTTATGTTGCAAAATATCTGGCACTTCTTTCAGTTATTTGTTTTTAAGCTTCAGAAAATTAAGACACACAGATGGCCAATATGGATCATTATGAATTTTGTCTTTTTCTTTCTTTCTTTTTTTTTCTGAATTGATGTTTCCTCTAGGTTAATGTCAGACTTGCTCTGAGTAGCTGAGGCAGTAGTTCGGAGACCAGGGCATAAAAGTGCCCTCTCCACTCAATAACCAGCAAACTAATTTGATGTTTCTATTGACTTGAATCTTTCTGCTTTCTATCTTGAACCTATGAGCGTGTGACCTCTTCTGCAGAGATCTGTGGCTTCTGGGCATTTTGTAAAGTGCCGAAATTGCCTAGAAAACTACTCTCTGTGCTTTGCAAAATAATGGAAAGAGTATTTCCTATCTGCTTCTTGCAGCAATCCCCCAATAATAAATTCAAAATGTGTTTTAATTTTATTTCAGTTTAGTTTTGGAGAACCATCTTCAGGTATTTAGGTTTTTAACTATTATTCCTTATCTGTCATTAAAAAAAATTCACTTTTTTCTCCGCTGTAATTTCTTTCCCACTCTACTTCCTAACAAACAGCTCCTTATTTTCCTGTATTACTCTATTTTTTTTTAAACAAAATGGAAATACAAAAGATAATATTTGGCCAGCATCTCAATCTTGAAACTCTATCCATTTCCTAATGTGTTTAGCAACCAGGCAATTAAGAAACAGGCCTTGTCTTTAATCATCTCAGAAAATTAGAGAGATTTTTCTCATGGTTAAATTGCATTTCTGAAAACAATTGAGACAGCTTTTTTGGTAATTTTGCAAAACTTGTTTT
This sequence comes from Homo sapiens, assembly GCF_000001405.40. NCBI lineage: Eukaryota > Metazoa > Chordata > Mammalia > Primates > Hominidae > Homo > Homo sapiens. The sequence goes on along the minus strand of NC_000002.12, from coordinate 53,211,946 downwards.
TCCTTGAGCTTTTGTGTATACATTAATCATTTAATAATTAAAAAATTTCAATTTTCCCTTTTTCCTTCTCTTTTCTTAACCTTTATTGTCCTTTTGAAATGTTGTCAGGGCTAACATGAGCTCTTTTGGTGTATAGCCAAGTATACTTCTGTTTTAGCTATTTAAATAACAACACATGCTTCTAAGTTTCTGGAGTAATTTAGTAGTTTTTTCCTTGATTCTCACAGCAGCAGGCTTTACCTGGAAGCCTTGAACCACTTTCTGGTTATATTTATTTCCCCAGGTCCTGGGTCTTTACAGACAGCAAGAAGTCTAAAATGGCTTAGAGAAGTAATAACCTTTGTCCTGGGATTTGCACACATGTTTGCAAGGACATTTATTTCTGATTCCCTGACTGACCTCTGAGACCTCAGAACTTACCAATTTGAATCAATTGGCTCTGTTGGATGTCTTACCTAACTGAACTCCCTGCCCAAACCCCTTCTGCTACCCCTATCCTTGTACTTCCTATGTTTGTTTTTGCTAAGCCAGCACAGTATGTTCATTTCTGTATCCTCTAACATAAGATCTCACCTAGACTGGGGACTTGGTAAATGTTCCTGAATGATAGCATTGGCTGCAGAACACAGTGAGTTGCTATTGAGGTGAGTTGGAAAGGCTAGGTTGTTGAGATTTTGTAAAGAATCCTAATGTGAGAAGCCAAAAAGGGTGAAGTGGGTACCCGTGATATTTTCCTGTATGTTTCGTCTCTTCTTCCTCTTCTGTATTTACTTACATTGAGCTTAAGTGAGTGTTGGTCAGTGTAGGACTGGAAATAGATCATTCCTCTGAATCACACTCTTATTGACTATCCAATCTTTCCAGTTTCTATCCTTTATTCTCCTTTCTCAATGATATGAATCCTAAATGTGGAGGAGACTCTTATTCCCCTCACTTTAAAGATCTAGGAAAATATCTACTGATCCTGGGATAGAAGGAGAAATTTGGGTTATGAGAAGTACAAAGCACAATGAAGACGTATGAAATATTCAAATAAATCTAAGCTGCTTTGGTGGGATAAAATGATTTAGTGGGATCAAGAGATAATAAACATAGGTTGTGCCTTCAGTCAGCAGGACTGATAGGGAAGCAATGAGAGAGGTAAGGGAAATGAGCTGTAGATTGAGATGCCTCAGTACACTCAGTTCCTGACTACCAGCATCTGCTCCGTTGTAAGAGTGCCTTTGGGAAAGCCACAAGGGGGCTTTCTCCAATACTCGAGTCACCAGTTGCCTTAGAAATAAGCTTTTGTTCCTGTTCTGCTATTGTCACAGGCTTCTTTATAAAAACATATATGCACTTTGTTGACTGGTCAGATGATGGACATAACTCTGCCCTTCTGTAACAAATGAGCATCCCTCTGCAAGATTCTTTCAGGAGCCAGGAACTGTCTTTCTCTTTATACTTTCGACTTAAATGCATCATATGAATTCATGTAGCTGCTTTAAGATAGAGACTTGTTTTATTTTTCTTCTTTTCTTTTCTGCACCTTATCTTGTGCTAGCCTTAGTCTGGGAGAATGAAAACCCTAGGGGCATTTGGGAGCTTCTGCAGCCCAGACAGCAGGGCCCTGAAGAGCTCTCTCGTTTCCATGTTTTCATGTCCTTTCAAAATGTCAGTTAGCACCTTTAAAATAAAGTCTGCCATCAAAGACACACACTCTTTTCCTGCCTGTCTGGTGTGCCAAAGATAGACATTACTCTGTCTGCTTCAGTTCTCAGCTTTCTGTCATGTTTGGCAAAAACTTAATTGCCTCTCCTTTCAGAACAACTTTTATTTGTTTTCTTAGACTCAACATCTCCTCTAACGGAGCCCCTTTTTCTTTTTTTTTCTTTCTTTTTTTTTTTTTGCAGCAGGGGAATGTAGACAGCTTTTGTTTCTGCTGCTTCATGATTAGCTTCCCAATGTCCTTTAAAATAAAATTTTGTGCCCAGAAAAGATGCCACAGGACCCAGGCAGTATTCGTTTATTCAAGGGTGACAGTTCACAGAGGGAGCCAGGTTTACTCAGGTTTAACTTGGGGGTGTGTCTCCATTGTAGACAGCAGCATTTCTTTACTGCCATCTAGTACATGATGTCATATGCTACCTTGGCAAATTGAACTAAATATTAATAATAATACTCCCTCTCACTGGGCTTCTTTCATCCCAAACTTACGTTCCTTCTCTTTAGAAGGTTCTTGCCCTGCCTCCGGATGATTTTGTAGTAACCCTTCTAAACCTGGCTCAAATGTCATGTGGAATTAATATTGCTTTCCTCTCTTTTGCCTTAGCACTTCTCACATATATTGAGTATAGTACTGCAGTGTAATAGAGCATGGTAGTATGACTAATTGTACATGTGCCTTACAGCTTAGCATTCCCATTCTCTTCACCCAAGACTCTGAGATGCTTAAGGTTAGGGATGGTGTCTCTGACCTTATTCATTCTCAAATACTGAACATGTATACCAGGGTTTGACATATAGTGGTCACTTAAAAGACATTTATTAAATGAATGAGGAAAGGCGACTGGGATTTTTGCACATAGGTCTCACAGTTCATGCTGCCCTCAAATATTACACTATTAGATGCAAGTATTTACACAGGACCAAAGGTTGAAGGAAAAAGAAAAGTGTTGAGAGAGTAAGGAAAGGGTGACTAGCTGTCTGCTTTGGAGTTCAGTGTAAGGAGTTATATAATATCTTGAGATTCACAAAAAAGAGAATGCTAAGGTTTTACAGCTGAGGACACAGGAGAAAATGTATTTGGAGCGTAACATGATACACCTATGTGAACAAGTAAATATTCTGAGAAGGTAATAAGAGTGCAGGCTTTTCTGGTGAAAGGTTTAGAAGCAGGGGCGAAGACACTGCCACTGGTCTATAAATAGAAAGGAGGTGTGAATGAGAGTGTAGAAAGCCACTCGGGGGAAATAAAAAACATCTGGAGAAGCAGCAACTAGCACTGGGACTATCTGAAGTCTCTGGAAGAAGCTGCAGGAAATCCAGGTGAGAGATGAACTGTGCATAGACCTTGTTGTTAACACTCTCCTGGAAAAAAGAAGAAGATCATTTCTGAGTTGGTGACACGGGCATGTCTCTCTCACCATTATCCGATGACACCGTGTATTTTGTCAGGAGAAGCTTTTTCAGGGGAAAGCAGGTGGCTTGAGTTTTAATTCCTCTTTTCTCACACATTATCTCTATGACCTGGGGGAAGGCACTAACCCCCCCTGGGTCTCAGGTGATTTATCTATAATATGGTAATAATGGCGTTTTATCCGCCTGAAGGTGAAGGATTGTGCTGAATGATTTATTGAGCTCTTTAGCTACTGTAAAATCTATTCTATTTCCCTGGAAACTTTACATTGTGTCAGCTGATGTGGATTTTCTTAAACGTCTATGTTTATTTTATTGTCAAGGTTCATGATAGATAGTTGTCACATAGGCCAGATAGGCCCTGTGACTGTAAGCATGCCCACCTTGGAAAAGACTTTTTGTTTGTAGTATTGAAAATCTGCATTTAAGCCAGATAGGCTTTATATTTTAATAAGAGGGTCAAATGTTAAAAGTAGATTTTTCCGTAAGATCTGAGTTGTATAGGGCTGAATGATACTTGAATATTATGTAGCAATGGAATTGTCAGACAAGTAAAATTTTCTTTAAGAGGTCTTGGCACTGATGAGCTTGTCAAAGAAAGGTCTAGATTTCTGAAGAATTAGAGCTTCTAGAAGGTTAAATAAAACGTTTAAAAAACAACTTTATTTTTTCAGCAGAAAAAAATTCCGTTTAATAAGGTAAATAATCCTTTCCATTTCCATCCTCTGAGCAATGAATAAACACAACCATGCTGTTTAAAAAAATATATATATATTTCTAATTATAAAATAGTGTACATACTTATTGTAAGAAAAATGAAAATAAAAGCCTAAAGAAGAATAATTAATGTCACTCTCCAGCAATAATCGTTGTGAATATTAACATCTCTCTTTCAATATATCTAGCTATATCTATTTTTTTCTCTCTGTCTTGTGTGTGCATGTGTATGGGATCACACACATATATAATATGTCTGCACACACGTATACATATATGAGTATGTGTATCATTTTATAACTTGCTTTATTATTTAATAGTTTATCATTTCAGAGTCATTCAAATTGCTTTCAACCTTGAGGGAAAAATGCAAACAACAAAGAAAATAACATAAGGAAAGAGCATACGGAAAAACTAAAATCATCCTTTACGTTACCTTTCTCATTCAGAGTTCTGCTCTCCATGGATAACTGCTTTCAACAATTTTAGTTTTAGGTACTCTAATTAATGTACTTGAGGATCTTTTTTTATGTTTTTCAAAAACTTTTAAGCTCAGGTGTACACGTGCAGGTTTCTTACATAGGTAAATGTGTGTCATGGAGGTTTGTTGTACAGATTATTTCATCACCTAGGTATTAACCCTAGCACCCATTAGTTATTTTTCCTTATCCTCTCCCTCCTTCCACTCCCCACCCTCCAATAAGCCCCAGTGTGTGTTGTTTCCATCTATGTGTCCGTGTGTTTTCATCATTTAGCTTCCACTTATAAGTGAGAACATGTGGTATTTGGTTTTCTGTTCCTGTGTTAGTTTGTTAAGGATAGTGGCCTCAAGCTCCATCCATGTCCCTGTTAAGGACATGATTTCATTCTATTTTATTGCTGCATAGTATCCCATGTTATGTGTGTACTACATTTTCTTTATTCAGTCTACCACTGATGGGCATTTAGGTTGACTCCATGTCTTTGCTATTGTGAATACTGCTGCAATGAACATACATATGCATGTGTCTTTATAATAGAACAGTTTATGTTCCCTTGGGTATGTACCCAGTAATGAGATTTCTTGGTCAAGTGGTATTTCTTTCTTTAGGTATTTGAGAAATCACCATACTGTCTTCCACAATGGTCGAACTAATTTACACTCCCACCTACAGTGTATAAGCATTCCTTTTTCTCCACAACCTTGCCAGCATCTGTTATTTTTTGACTTTTTAATAATCGCCATTCTGACTGGCGTGAGATGTTATCTCATTGTGGTTTTGATTTGCATTTCTCTAATGATGGATGACATTGAGCTTTTTTTCATAGGATTATTGGCCGCATGTATGTCTTGAGAAGTGTCTGTTCATGTCCTTTGCCACTTTTTAATGGGCTTGTTTTTTTCTTGTAAATTAAGTTCCTTATGGATGCTGGATATTAGACCTTTGTCAGATGCATAGTTTGCCAAATTTTTCTCCTATTCTGTAAGTTGCCTGTTTACTCTGTTGATAGTTTCTTTTGCTGTGCAGAAGCTCTTTAGTTTAATCTGATGTCATTTGTCAATTTTTGTTTTTGTTGCAAATGCTTTTGGCATCTTTGTCATGAAATCTTTTCCTGTGCCCACGTCCTGAATGGTATTGTCTAGGTTGTCTTCCAGGGATTTTATAGTTTTGGGTTTTACATTTAAGTCTTTAACCCATCTGGAGTTAATTTTTGTATATTGTGTAAGGCAGGAGTCCAGTTTCAATTTTCTGCATATGGCTAGCCTGTTATCCCAGCACCATTTATTGCATAGGGAGTCCATTCCCCATTGTTTGTTTTTGTCAGGTTTGTCAAAGATCAGATAGTTGTACTACACTACTTTCTGGCTGGGCTTTTGTTATTTTGGATAAATGACTTAACTTCTCTGTGCCTCCATTTCTCTATATGTAAAATGCCCATAAAATAATGCCTACCTGATAGTGTTGTTATGAGCATTAAATATGTGAGTACTTGTAATGTCTTCAGAGCAATGCATGGCACTTAGTAAGTGCTCAGTAATATTATTTCTTGGAGAGCCCAGTACTGTGAATAAATGTGTATCACTAAACTTGTGCTGCTAAAGGGAGAATGCTGTAGGAATCAAATTCAAATAGTTTTTCTTCTATGCATGCCACCAATTATTCAAAATCATGCCATATATTAGATACTGGTTTACTTGAAATGTGGATTGTGAGTTTTTTTGTGCAACTTTTTGTTTTGCCTGCAATTTATAATTGTTTTTCATCTTGGCTGTTAGCAAAAGAGAGAAATTGCCTCATATGGTTAACCTCCTCCAGAAGTATATTTATTAATTTAAATAGAGATTTGAAAATACAGCAGCAACTAAGAAAGGCTTTCTTTTTGTTGATGATTGAATGTGATTTGATGTATATTTTCAGACTCCCATGAGCCTTTTAAGAATCAGATTTGATTCTCTGCCTGGCTTCAAAGAGCAGCTCAATGTGGCAATCACAAGGAATATTGGCTGTGTTTTCTATGGTACATTTTCTCACTTTCATTATTCTGGTTTAATGCATAGAACTGGCTGGCTGTGACCCTGACTTCTCAAGGGTTTTCTTACTGTGGAAAACTTCTTGGAGAAATAAACCGAGTGGCCTTTTGCATCTTCAGTTTCTTACTCTCTAGCACTTTATTCAAGCCTAGGCTCCTGGACTTAATTTTGGAGTTGTTCAAATAGTCTTAGTGACCTTCTTCTCTGAAAAGAGCTGTGCAGGAGTGCCTTATTCAGAGGCATCCACATTAAACAGTTCAGCATATCTGCAGTTTGTGGAGTGTCTGAGGGAGAAATGAAAGATGATTCTGGATGGGTAGATTGTAGGGGACAGGGGGCTCATGGAGCATATAGAACAATTTACCAAGGAATTTAATATTCATTCTGTGCTATAGGAAATCATTGAGGTAATTTTGGTAAAAAGAGTTCCATGATCAGATTTGCATTTCAGAAGAAAAATCTTTGGTGGAAGTTTTGAAGAAGATTACAAGAAGAGACTGGAGAGGAAGAGAACTGATGAAGGCTGTTTAATTTAAAATTTTTAATAGTAGAAATTTAACATCAAAACATTTCTTAAAATTTTATTTTGTTTTAGGTTTGGAGGTACATGTGCTGGCTTGTGACATGGATATATTTTGTAATGGTGGGGATTCTAATGTACCTGTCAGCAAAATAGTGAACGTTGTACCCAAAAGGTCAATTTTTAACCCTCACTCCTTTCCTACCTCTTCCCCCTTTTGGAGTCCCCAGTGTTTATTATTCCTGTCTTTGTGTCCATGTGTATCCATTGTTTAGCTTCCACTTATAAGTGAGAACACACAGTATTTGATTTTCTGCTTCTGAGTTATTTCGCTTAGGATATTGGCCTCCATGTTGTTGCAAAGGACATGATTTCATTCTTTTTTATGACTGCATAATATTCTATGGTGTATATACACTGCATTTTCTTTATCCAATCAGTGGTTGATGGATAGTTAGGTTACTTTGTTATTGTGAATAGTGCTGCTATAAACCTACAACTGCAGGTGTCTTTTTTATATAAAGATTTCTTTTCCTTTGGGTAGATACCCAATAGTGGGATTGTTGAGTCAAAGGGTAGCTCTATTTTTTAATCCTTTGAGAAATCTCCATACTCTTTTCCATAGCGGTTGTTCCAATTTACATTCCCACCAACAGTGTATAAGCATTCCCTTTTCTCTGCACCGTCACCAACATCTGTTGTTTTTTGACTGTTCTAGCGATTCTGACTGGTGTAAAATGATATCTCATAGTGGTTTTAATTTGCATTTCTCTGATGATTAGTGATGTTGAGCATTCTTTTATATTTCTCATCTGCTTGTGTGTCTTCTTTTGAGAAATGTGTGTTTAATGTCCTTTGCCCACTTTTTAATGGAGGGGCAAAACTACATATATATATATATATATATTTTTTTTTTTTTTTTTTTTTTTTTAGAGACTAGGTCTTGCTCCGTCATGCAGGCTGGAGTGCAGTCATGCAGTCGTAGCTCTTTGAAGCTTTGAACTCCTGGGCTCAAAAGATCCTCCCACCTCAGTCTCCCAAAGCAGTAGGATTACAGGCATGAGCCACCATGCCTTGCTAAAACAATTTTTAATAGAATTAATGGAACACACTATTCAGTTGGATGTGACAGAAAAAAGAGGGTGAGTTGAGGACAAGGTTCTAGTGTGAGCATAAGAGAAGTTTTTAGCAAAGAAGATAATGAATCCAGCTTTTAATGTTGGCATTTATATGCCTTTGGGATATTCAGATAGAGATGTTTAGTTGGTAGTTGGAAACCAAGGACTGGAGCGCAGCAGAAAGGAGACCTGGATACACAGGTCTAAGAAAAATCTATGTAGAGGCTGCAGCCAGTGAAATTGGATAAGCTCCTTTTAGAGAGACTATTGCATAAGAGTTCTGAGGACAGAAAAACCCATGGACCACAAGTGTTTAAGAGATGATCTGGAGGAAGAGAAATCAGTGGTAGGAAAAGCAACCTGTTCATTTCCATGTCCCCAGTGTCTAACACAGTCTTTCACAGAAATGCTTGTGGATGGACTACTTGAGCTTAGAAGGAGAATTTAGCAATGAGGTAGTGAAATCAGAACTAGTGACTTAGAAGCCAAGACAGAGAAAATCATAAGCAAGGAGACATTAAATTAAACTTCGGTGAACTGTATCCTTTGGATTTGACAACTAGGAAGTCATTTTCTACTTTAGCAAGAGTTTGTGTTTCAGTGAGATGGTGGAGCCAGAGTCGTATTGCAGTGGGTTGAGGGGCTTGTGCTAGACGAGGAGAAGACAGTAAGGTATGTTAGTCTTTAAAGAAAGTGGAGTGTAAAAGGAAGAAGGTAGTATTTATAAGGAAAGGGTAAAAATATTATTTTTCAATAAGCATTCATATTTGAAAGTTTTTTGGAGGGATGGAGAAGATTAAGAAAGAAAAGACCCTACAGAATGAAGAACAGATGGAAGGAAAAGTAACTGTGATCTCTCACATGATATTGAACACTCATTACCCGGTGTTGGTTACTTTTGTGTGTGGATGTGTCATTTACCCCCAAGAAGGTCATAAGCTGTTAAGAGGCAGAAATCACAGTTTGTACCTCTATCCTCCTTAGCCTATTTAAAACATGTGACGTGTATGTGATTATTGTTACTTGATTATAGCCATTTAATATTACTGTAAAAGGAAATATGCAACTCTCTGGATACTCTCCTCATTTGTTGTTTTTAAAGTAGACTCAATGTTGAAGCAAGGCCACAGTTCTCTTAGTAGACAGCGTGGACCTCTTGCTAGGTAGGTGGTATGTAGTTGTACACTTTAATTGGTTCATTTAGTTTTGGCAGATTGAACATTGCTACCTCTCTCTCAACAGGAAAATTGGCTCTCTTTTTGGTAAGATTAGGAAGTTGGTAACTTTACTGTTTAGATTGGGAGAGGGTGTTCTGCCTTCAAAAGGAAAAAAAAAAGAAGTATGACATTATCCCAGTTTCTCTCCTTTTTACCTGTTCTGAAACTTTTTCTCTTCCAGTGGCCAAAGACTTTTCTCCTGAGAAGCTGGTACATCAGCATTCCAGTTACTGGGTAGACTCTGGGCCCAAATAGACTTCTAGGATCCACTGGCCTTTCCATCTTTTACATATCTTTGCACGTCCACCTCTCTGCTTTTGTTTAAGGAAGGGAGAAATGTTTTGCATTTATGTTTTGAACTTGCTGATCCAGTAGATGTCACTCTGGGCAACAGGATAGAATATCTGTTCTTATCTGTGGTTTTGAATAGGCTGTGGCATTCCTGCTCCCAACCACTTTTACACACCTCAGGACTGACACACATGAATTATGACATTCTCTGCAATGCCAGTTTTACTTCTATGTTGTGAAATAAGACGGCTGGGAGAGCTGCCATTTCATCTCATTCTCATTCAGCTCGAATGCCAAATGTTTACACAGTTACACCAGTCAACTAGGCAATAAGAAAATAGTTTAGGGAAAAGTGGAGGAAATATATATTTTAAAGCAGCATATCTGAATGGGGTGTTTAGGCACATTAAATTCTTCCGAGACTTCACACAGAGGGGAGGCAATAAATGCTCTCTTGAGTATTTGTGGCTGAACCCAAACTAGTACAAGTGAGCTGACCTCTCTCTACCTGTATAACTTCATTTTCTCCTATTGCCCTAAATCAGTGACGCTCAACCAAGCTTCTAGAATAGATTAAAAAAGAGGAGTTTTCCTGAAGTTCTCAGAAAGCAATATGGTTAGTGAATCAACTTTTCTCTGATTATTTTTTTTCTTTCCATATTGTATCTCCTCTCCACAAACCTTTGGAATTTGCTTCAGCCCGTTACATGATCAGTGAGCAAGTGGCAAACAGAAAATGTTGAGGAAAAAAAAACAGTCTAATTGGACAGATTTGTATTTTTTGAAGAAATATGTTTGTGGTTTTAATGTTGTATGCAATTTTATTTAATCACATTTTCTTTTAGAATTGTTTGCGTTATGGATAGTTTATGTGATATTGTACGCACCAGTTTATTATATTCCATCAACCCGAACAAGAGTGAGGACTCATGCTCTGCATGAACAACATCTTAGATACTCATTTTACCCCATGCAAGGCCTGCCCAGTCTTAGGTCACAGTTCTTGGTTGAACTTTTTATGTTTGACTTGGAATTTTCTTCCACGTCTTTCATCATATGTATAAAATCCAGCCAACACTTGGGGCCCATCTCAAATTCCATCTCCCCCGATAAGGGAATCTTGGTAAGTGATAGGAATTACAAAGAAAAGGAGGAACAGGATGGTGCATGCCGGAAGAAAGAGCTTTTCTTTGGGAGGTAAGCATGTGACAGATTTGGGGGCTAGATTTAAGAGCTTCAGGGGCTCATAGGAGGAAAGATCACTTCCAGCAGCTGTGATGAAGCATGTTTTCTTGAGGAGGTAGAATTGACACTTGATTACTTGAAGGGTAAGATGTGGCTAGCCAGTGAAGAGTGAGGAGGAAGGCCCTCTAGAAAGAGAGAAGACAAAGAAAAACAGAGGTGAACACAGCACAAGTGGGGACAGGTGGTAGTGAGGCCAACTTGGCTAGAACCCTGTACTGATGACTGGGAGTTATTAGAGATACTTGTAATAAGACTTCTTACCCTCATTCTTTTTCTCTGCTGAGACTGATGATGGAAGGAGTTATAATAACTGTTTTCCTGATTGCATGTGACTTTGCCCCTTCTCTGTATTGGCTGTGATCCTCCATCTAGCACATCTTCTATACTTTCTTTATAGTCCTTTCCTACTGTTTAGCCGCTGCTTTGATTTCTTTCCCATTTATCCACTTTACCACTAGCTGTTGAGTTCTCATATCTTCTTGAAGATGAATCAACACGAAGACGCACATTTAATAATAAGAAGAAAAAATAAAAGATAGTAGTTGGGGGCTTTTATGTGTATTTTTTCAAGGTTTGGGAGACTAAGACTGTTACTTGGTGTAGCGTTAGCTCAAAATCTGTTATAAAAAGCAAGATAATAGAACTGAAAGCAAAAGGCCCTTAGCTAAAGATGTAATCCTCTTATGGAGCTGGAGAAGAAAGAGACACAGAAAATGTTGCTTTAATTAAGGTTTTCGTCGTATATTCAATGTAATTTCCTTCTTGAAAGATTATATAGGTGTGAAGTCTTTTCAAATGACATTGTATTGAATAAACGAAGACCTTGCAATACTAGAAATTATTTTCTCCCTAACACCTGTATTTTCAAAATCTTATCTTAATACTGCTATTTTTTTCAGTTGTTAAGGACACCTTTTTGTTTTCCCATGTTAAGATGACCTCAGCATTTTACAAAATAAGAATAGGTGTGCTTCCAGGGGCTTTCTTTTAAAATTTATATGATTTATTCTCAGAAATTAATATATTTATTTACTTGGGAAATATGCACAGAATAATCTATAAGCTAGATCTTTAGGGAAAGTAAAGAATGACTTTTCATTATGTGAAAAGTTTCAAATGAAATCTTCCGGAATCCTCTGTGCTGACTATTCCATTATATAATACAGTGAGCTATTGGATTGTTTCATAAGTTATAAAATCCTTATTAATCAAAACATGCTGGTGCAAAGCAGAGGATTAATTGTTTGCTTTAAAAATTAAGGAAAGGGCACACAGAAGAGAAAAAGGATATTAAATAGCATATTTCATATTGTTTGGAATTAATGAGACTCATGATCACCTTATTTGAGTTTCTGACCTTTACCATATTACCAAAATTCATTGTGTGGATAAAAATCTATAGAGATTCCATAATCATTTGTTATGGACTTAGATGACTTGAAAAAATTGCTGTGAACCTTTAGAAACTTTGCTGTAAGTATTCCATGATGTCATTTAAATTAGGGCATATGGGCAGTATCTTTTAATGCTGCCTTTTAAAGTATTTACTTGGTTAGAATAGGAAGTTGCAAAATGACTTACCTTCCAATATTAGGGAAATATGATTACCTTTTTCACAGACCTTATCATTTTATGAAAGTGGTCTTTTCTCTTAGTCTTATAACACTTTGTACTTTTTATGGTAAGTAGTATGAGCCACCTAAAATGTAAGAACAGAGACCATATTTTTTCACCTTTCTGTTACAGACAGAGTCAAACTAAATTGAACTTAGGACTTGGTAAATAAATATTTATGGGATAAATGTCATAGCCCATTCTACTGTCAAGTATTTAAAACTAAATAGGCTCAACATGAAATTACATTTTGGTTAAAAGAAATTAGAATTACATTGCTGCTGCCTCCTTTGTATCAGAACTTAATACTTTGGCTCAAATGTTCATCATTTAAACATTGTGACGAGCACTTATAAGAATATGGACAATTTCCATTTCCGTACCTTTATATGTCAGGGCATCCCTTTCTTCCCCGCCCGCTACATTCCTCCTGCAAAAGTAGCACATGAGAACAAATGTTACTACTATATTCTGATTCAAATCTGAAATAGCTTTTGAAAATCCAAGTGTAAATGTATATGAAAATTCCAATTTTACATTACAGATGTAGGAAGGAAAAATGACCTATAAATTATCTCAGCTAGATCTAAACTAGATTTAATATTGGCAGTGATTTTCCTTATACAAAGCTTTAGATTGGGAACTTTTTGTCCTTACTACCCAAGAGCAAAATTTCAGTTTTCCCAGACAGAGATCAATTTCTTAGATACCTTTCTCTACAGGGCTAGATAATATAAGCAAGAGAGGCCCTGACAGCACCAATCTGAAAATGCCCTAATGCTCTGTAGTGAGGCCACACCTATCAAGAATACTAATATTTGTTCTGGTATTTCATTTATTAAATTTTTTTTTAAGTTTTGTTTTTAATTTTTAATTTTTATGGGTACATAGTATATATGTTTATGGGGTAATAAGATATTTTGATACAGGCATGCAATGTGAAATAATCATATCAGGGTAAATAGGGTCTCTATGCTCTCTAAAACAGTTATCATTTCTTTGTGTTACAAACGTTCCAATTACACTCTTTTAGTTATTTTGAAATGTATAATAAATTATTGTTGACTGTAGCACCCTATTGTGCTACGAAATACTGGATCTTACTGATTCTACCTAACTATATTTTAGTACCCATTAACCATCCCTGTTCTGCTCACTGTCCATTATCCTTCCCAGCCTCTGGTAACCATCCTTCTGCTGTCTATCTCCATGAGTTCAATTGTTTTTATTTTTAGATCCCACAAATTAGTGAGAATATGTGAAGTTTGTCTTACTTTGCCTGGCTTACTTCACTTAACATATCTTACAATTGTATCCATGTTGTTGTAAATGACAGGATCTCATTCTTTTGTATGGCTGAATAGCACTCTATCATCTATGTGTACCACATTTTCTTTATCTGTTTGTCTACTGATGGAGACTTAACTTGTTTTCAAATATTAGCTATTGTGAATAGTGCTGTAATAAACATGGGGATGCAGATATCTCTTCAACGTGCTGATTTCATTTCCATTGCATAAATACCTAGTAGTGGAATTGTTGGATCATATGGTAATTCTATCAGATATTTTGTAGAACCTCCATACTATTCCCTGCAGCAGCTATACAAATTTACATCACTACCAGTGGTGTATGAGAGTTCCTCTCTCTCCGCATCCTCACTAGCATTCATTATTGCCTGTCTGTTGGATGGAGGCCATTTTAACTGGGGTGAGATTATATCTCATTGTAGTTTTGATTTGCGTTTCCCTGATGATCAATGATATTGAGCACCTTTTCATATACCTGTTTGCCATTTGTATGTCTTTTTTTTTTTTTTTTTTTTTTTTGAGAAATGTCTATTCAGATCTTTTGCCCATTTTTTTTAACTGGATTATTAGATTTTTTTTCCTATAGAATTGTTTGAGCTTCCTATATATTCTGGTTATTCATCCTTTGTCCAGATGAATAGTTTGCAAATATCTTCTTCCATTCTGTGGGTTGTCTTTTCACTATGTTTCCTTTACTGTGCATAATGTTTTTAACTTGATGTGATCCAATTTGTCCATTTTTGCTTTGGTTGCCTGTGCTTTCGAATATTGCTCAAGAAATCTTTGCCTAGACCAACGTTCTGGAGAAATTTCTCAGTATTTTTTTAGTTGTTTCATAGTTTGAGGTCTTAGATTTGAGTTTTTAATCCATTTTGATTTGATTTTTCTATATGTTGAGAGATAGGGATCTAGTTTTATTCTTCTGCATATGGATACTCAGTTTTTTCAGCACCATTTATTGAAGAGATTGTCTTTTCTCCATCATATGTTCATGACACCTCTATAGGGATGTTTTTGTGAGTTAAGTTTTTGAAACTTTCCACATTAAAAATGATGCTTCAGGTTATGTTCAATTGTTTGGTCATTGGAGTTGGTATAGAAACTTGAAGCTCTTTGTGGTATGTACAACTCAGGTTTTTCTCATTAAAAAGGATTAGTGGAAAAAAAAAAGAATCCATCTGACTTAAAGGAAAATTGAAGTAGAAAATAAATTTGAGCTTGAGTTTTCCTTTAAGACAGGTTGCATAAGGCTGATACCTGGGTCACAATTAAATGAGACCTCTGAGAGTTCTTTTTGAAAGAGCATTTCTGCTCTTAAAATTCTGGGATTCCAGAGTCCTGAGTTCTGTTTTTGACTCTACCAAGACTTTGGGCAGGTGATACTATCTGAGTTTCAGTTTGCTCAACCATAAGGTAGAAGGAAAGAAGAAGTGAATTAAATCATCTTGAAGATCCTGTTCAGCAATAAATGGATGATTTTATTGTAAGCAAAAATGTCTCACAGTTTGGAGGGGAGTAAAATCTAAAAAGATTGTAATAAAAGTGGCTAACATTTTTTGAACATTTACTGTAAACCAAGTACAGTTCTACGGACCTAGCATATATTCACTGATTCATTCCTTTTCCATACCGAGGTACTGAAATTGTTTCTATTTAAACATGGAGAAGCTGAGGTACAGAGACAAAGATAAACTTGCTGAAGTTCTTGCAGCTAGTAAGGGGTGCAGCAGAAATCTCAAGCCAGTGAGATATCAAGATCCTAGAGCCCAAACCACAGCTTTCTGCTGAGGAGCATTTCTGTGTAGAATGGTCCCTTATCTGCATTCTTATTTTCAGGAGGCATAATGAAAGAGGTGGAGAAATACTTAGCTGAGGAATCAATTCTAAATCTCTTTGGGGACGAGTTTATCACCTTAAGTGATTTCTGGAACATTCTTCTTTCATACTTAGGCAAGATTCTGATATAGTATGATATTGGCAGTGGTTGTAAAGTGTCTGTCAAGTTGGCGTTATATTGCTACCCTGGGCTTTTCTACTGTCCAACTCAAAGCAATATTTATATAAAAGATCACAGAGGCTGAATTACAAAGCCTTTCTCATTCAGGCCTTGCTGGTGGCACTTGAATGTGTCAGTTTTGAGCAGTTCATGTGCTACATAGGTGGGGAAATAAGAGAAATGCTGCAAAGATGTGCTTTGCTTTAAGGAAATTAAAAATACAAAAGCATTGTCCTTCGAAGCATGATGTAGTAGGGGTCTCTATGCATTTTAAATGATGTCTTTGTTTTAAATTACTTGCTACACAGTTTTCTTCCTTACAGAGATTTTCTGGTATTTATCCATCCTTGTTTACAGATTATGAGATTTTTTTTTTAGAGTGAAATGGATTAAAAATTCACAGAGAAATATATGGCAAATGGGTTAGCCAAAATCACTTGGAAATGAAAGTAAAGCGTGACATTGCCCAATTTTAACGTAACTTATTTGGAAGACCTCCTTTAATATGTGAAAAGAGGTCCACCTCTACTGGTTCAGGACCCCTGCTCTAAAAATCTGGCTGGAGAATATGATTTTCAATGGCATTTTCGAAAAATATTGTAATTAAACAATGATAAAAGATTATTCTATTAATTTGAATCTTTTGATATTGGAGGTAGATCCAGCCCTATCAATGTGTTTTAATCTTTTCCTCTTCACCCTATTGGTGAGGGAGGAGTTCCTATTCTGTAACTATGGAGATAGCTGATCATGCAGTACCCGATACTGGAGAGGTGACATGACAACAGTTTATTAATTCCACATACTTGCAACTTGAGGGAGGAGAATGTCACAGGCCTTGCAGGGCCACATGGGGTTGTGCTTGGGAACAAAGTGAATAAGTGTGGGCTACAGGAAGCAGGCTTTGTAGTATCAAGAGGTTGGAGTGACCCCTAGTTCCCATGGGAGGGTGTGATTGGCTTGTTTGAATAATTCCATGGGCTAGAAGGGAACTGAAGGCCACTCCTGTGGAATAAGTAGGATTTATACCTAGTTTCTTGATAAGTCGGGCTGTTTTGCTGCAGGATCTTATCTGTGGGAGTAGAGTGGGGAAAGGAACTTGCAGCTAGGCTGTTTGAGGTCTTTCTGGTTATTCCAGATGTCAAGGCAGCACGTAATATTGGGTCGTACTTTTAGGCCCAACACCACACACTTCTAAATTCAACCATAGCCCCTAGTGTCTAGGCCTTCCCTCCTATATTATTCATGTCCTCTGTATAACAAAACACCACAAACTGGATGGTTTAAACAACAGAAATTAATTTTTTCATTGTTCTGGACGGTAGAAGTCCATGATGAAGGTGCTGGCAAATTCATTTTCTGAACAGGCCTCTCTTCTGGCTTGTAGATGGTCACTATCTTTGTATGTCCTCATGTGGCCTTTTCTTATTGCATGCATAGGAGGGAGAGAACTCTGGCATCTCTTCTAAGGTCACTAATCCTATTGGATGAGACCCTCATCCTTATGACCTCATTTAACTTTACTTATTTTCTTAGAGGTGCCACTTCCAAATAGTGCCATCATGAAAATTAGGTTTTTATATGGTTTGGCTGACTCTGTGTCCCTACCCAAATCTCATTTTGTAACTCCCATAATTCCCACGTGTTGTGGGAAGGGACCCAGTGGGAGATGAGTGAATCATGGGGGCAGGTCTTTCCCATGCTGTTCTCGTGATAGTGAATGGGTTTCACGAGATCTGATGGTTTTTAAAAACTGGAGTTTCCCTGCACAAGCTCTCTTTTTCTCTGCCGCCATCCATGTAAGACATGACTTTCTCCTCCTTGCCCTCCACCATGATTGTGAGGCCTCCCCAGCCATGTGGAACTATAAGTCCAATAAATCTTTTTTTTTTTTTTTTTTGTAAATTGCCCAGTCTTGGGTATGTCTTTATCAGAAACATGAAAATGGACTAATACAGGTTTCAACTTTTGACTTTTTGGGAGACATAAATATTCAGCCCATAACACCTCTCCCAATATTTTTCAATACTCCTCATACTTTTAATAATTGGTTAACAATTTTTTTTGATAAATTCCACTTTGGAGTTTTATTAATACTTACCATGGTATCTAGTATAAAATAGATTCCCTAAAATTGTTTGTTGAATTGAGAGGGAGAATTTAGATTTGGATTTTGTTTCAGACACTCAACCTATTCAACTTTCCTCTAGATTTTCCTTGAAAGTAATTTCTGAAGATCATTAGACAGGTAAATGTCTGATTTAAGATTTGGTCAGCACATTATAATTTTTCAGTATTTTTTTCTTTATTTTCATTTCTGGGAGGAGCAATGGATATGGTATTAGTTTTGATTACTCGATCTGGTATTTAATATTTGCCACATTTTTGAACTTCATCTGCCATGTAGGGGTACTGATACCTATCTTACCTCCCAACATGTAAAGATTAAATAAGAGCGTGAATATTAGGGTTCTTCTTAAAGCACAAATGCAAGGTAGGATCTTAGAACACACTGCACTTACTACAGCAGCATTACTTCAACAGGCACTTCAGAGCATCTATGGTGCTATTAAAAATGTTAATTTCATCTTCCTACATATGACTTACTGAGTTATAGTAACAGATGGGGCCCAGGAATCTGCATTTTAATAAAACCCCAGATGATTCTAATGCATATTGAAATCTGAGAACCAATGTACTGTATTAAAGGTCGTTGAATCAAAATGAATCAAAACACCCATCGGTAACATCTAACCCTCTAGTTCACCAAGAGGTGTTAGTTTTCAACAAAAACAAGCAACCAGTGAAAATAAGCAACTACCCACCAACAGCAGGAAGGCCATGGGTGTACATCGACTTTACCATCTTCATGCTTTACATTCAGAACTGTGAACTTAGTGGTTCTCAAACTGGCAGGATTTTAGAAATTCATGGGAGCTTTCAATATGTAGATTCCTGGACCCTGCTTCTGAAGACTTTGATTCAGTAGGTCTATGGCAACGTTAGGAAACCTATTTCTCAAATGCTCAAATGATAGAGAAATTTAGGAGCAGGCCATTGAATTATGGTAAAACCCTTAAGTGGTTGTAAAGTCAACAAAATTCACAATTTCTTCACATAGCAAACTTCTACTTCTGATGTACTAATATTAGTGTTGGATTGGTAATGTGACATGAGTCTTGAAACACAAAATATAGGTTCAGAAAAAGACACAGCTCACTGTAGTCCTGGCATCTTTTTGTGCAACACTGGATTGCATATATCTATTTGGAATGAAGCTACTCTTTATCTTGACTCAGGATGTACAGTTGAAAACATGAGACCCCTACAGAGCCTAGCAGTTCTGTCTGAATGCCTTTTTTTCCTGAAATCTGATGGCTTTTCTTTACTGCTCTCTTTAATCCTAGTGTTTGAGAAGGTATCTGAATGCCAAACCTATCATAAACCTCTCTGAAGACAAAACATATTTAGTGAAATAGTCTTAATAGCCTTTATTCAATTCCAGAGAAGTGGATTTTAAACACGGTAAGCTTTCACCTATTCAAATACATAATATCATGTTTATGCCCAATCCCATTCATATCTGTTTACTGGAAATAGCAAATTATTTGTCAACAGTGTGCCCAAGCATATACCAATTAACCTATGTGTTAGGGATATTAGTGCTTAGTTCAACACTTGAAACATGTGCCTGGGGAAATATTTTGAAGTTGACTGAAAGAAGCCAAATATCAGTTGAAAAATAAGTCTGTGAAATAATATTTTAAAAAGCTGTTACAAATTGTTGTATGACTTATGGCTGTACCTTCAGAGGTCTTCATACATTCTGTTAATTCTTATCAGCAATATAAAAGCTGGCTAGGACACATGTCATTCTTCTCCCTTTAGAGAGGAAGCAATGAAGGTGGGCTGGCTAACCTAAAATGGGCCATGAACTTAGTGTCAGAAATTATACTGAAACCCAGGTCTTTTGATCTTCGTTCATTTTTCACTTAGTCAGGTTGGCTTGGGCATAAAATTTAGGCTATCCATATATCAAAAGAATGCCATTGTTACATGGCATAAAAGTGAGTTTAAATATGTAGGATCTTATAGGCATCAAGAGCCAACTAATTTTTCTACCTTCCCTGGTTGGATGTATGCTATCCAAAAATTAACATCAGGCAAGAAAAAATGGTGTGATTCTGCCTGGTGTGTGTGTTACTTCTCGAAATTGCAGCCTTAGTTCCCTTCACTCTTCTTTGGTCAATTTCTGGGAACATGATTGATGAGTACTTTACAGGTTTCTGAGAACAAAAATAATTTAAAGGCTCTAAATTCTATTAGAGATTAATTTTAGATAAGCGCCAGCAAGTATTTAGACACATAAATGGAATTTACTTTATGGAATCAGCTAGATACATATAATGTTTTCTTGATGTGTATTCATTAAAAAACAATGTAGAACACTGGAGCATAGACAATTATTGTTTTGAGATCTCTGGGTAATTAAAGAACAGTCTCAGTTTATTAGCAGATAAGTCTTTAAATTCATTTTCTCTTTGTTACTGATTATCTTATAAAATTATTCTTTCAAAAAATGAGTAAAGCTGTCTTGTCACAGATTAAGAGATCTTTCAGGTGTTGATACAATAAGAGAATTAGTGAAAGGAGAGAACTCAGTAGCAGAATCTTTTGAATTTTGACATTATATACCTAGCTATAATTGCTCTATAGCTAGGTATTCCCCTATTAAGAATACCTGGCTGACCCACGAGTCTCTTTTATTTAGAAAATATATATGAAAAATATATTATTATTTATAAAATATATGTGAAATATAAACATTTGATCATATCTAAAGTATTCAGATTTAATTATATAAAAATTACACGCACACACACATGAGCGCACGCACACACACGTGCATATCCTCTTAACTTGTCACCTTATAAGGATCTGGGATTCTCATGAAATTGTATGCAAAATATTTGTAGGAACAGGGCTGGCTACATGATTTGTAGATTTTGGGGCAAAGTGAAAATATGGGGTCTTTTGTTCAAACAGGGAAACGGTGCCGTCTTATAATCTGTAGTATCTTTAAGGTGCTAAAATACAAAGTTTTTTCCTTTCTTCCATGGTTTATCTTTTGACTGCCATTTTAAATTTCTAAGTATAAAATGAAAACATTTAAAATTAATAGTATGGATTTTGCTATTCATATTTATATTCTGTGATGCCATTTAAAATGCAAATATAAATGCATTTAGCCTGTAGGTGGAATCACCAAATTTACACAATTTCTGTTTCTTTTGTGCATATGTATTTTGTTCTCACCAGAACAATGGAAGCACTGCATAAAACTAACTCAGCTGGTTTCATATCACTTCTTGGTACACTTCTTGGTCCTATCACTTCTTGGTCCTATGAACACACTTGGTCATATCACTTCTTGGTCCTATGAACACTCACTACCTGTGGCTTTCTGATATGTAAAGGGGATTTCAAGGCCAAAAACCTGTGGAATTCCCTATCTTTGCTTTTTGTTTTATGCCATCATTTTCAATGTAGGTGGTCAGCTAATATGGGGAAGTAACAGTAACGAGAGGATACGATAGAGATCTTTGGCTGTGTTTCTTAGAACACTATTTTTTCCCTGAGTTTGAAGAAAGTTCTAGTTTGAATTGAAAGCGTGCGCTCTTAGGGCTGTTGGTGCCCTGCTTACTGTGTAATTGATGAATTGATGTAACAGCTGCCCTGTCACCTCTGCTGTTGTCACTACTGTCTCCAGCTGGGTACGCAGGGATTATGGGAATGAAAAGCTGGCTTGGGTCAAGGGCCAGACTCTGCCCAGTGGGGGACTAGACTATCTTGTCCCTCGCTGTCCAACAGGAACCCTGCCTCTCCTACTCCATGTCCAGGGTCCAGAGATGAACACAATAGAGAGCTTGCCTTTGGGTTTAGTTTCCAAATCAGAATCTCATCTTACCAGGGTAAAACTTTAGTTTACAAACTTAGAGACTTTTCTGAAAAAGAAAGTTTACCTTGTCCTTGGTTTCAGACTTGCTGAACTCTCATACATTGTGGGTCCACTGGAATTCTGTGATCCTGAAACTTTGTGAATACTGTATGTGAATGGAGTGGCAAGGACTAGGGACATGCATATTTCACATTTTTCCTCTGCTCATGCTCCACTATTCCACTGATTTCTCTTACAAAACACAAGTTCAAAGTTAAAATTATTAAGAATTTCAAGATAGCAACAGCAGAGTATTAAAACAAGTATGGCAACTGTCAGAGCAAGAGACCCTGCAACTGCATAAGTCACATGCCAATGAAGTTGGCTTATTTAGGTAGGGCTATGTGTGTGTGCACACATGCATATTATTACATTTCTTAAACTTTTTTTTTCTGGCAAGAGCATATAACTCTTTTTCAGATTTTCCAAGGAGTGCCTGACTTCGTAAAAAGGTGAAAAGATGCTGTTTTAGAAGGATTGTAGCTCAGCAAAGAACCTCATCACTGTGCAAGAAAGGTGATAATACTCTTTTTGGTCTCTTCTTTGAACAACGGAAGGAGTTGATGCAAAACTGTTGAATTGCTGGTGCCACCTGCAATGCAGTCACAAAGCGATCAAGTTTGGGAGCTTACACTCTGAAGGTTTTACTGAAAGAAAATATCAGTGTAACAACATTATAAATATCTGAGCCAGGATATCTATCAGCTTCTCCATTTTTGTCCATGAGTAAAAGTGACTCTAGGAAAGCTCATGGCTTGACAGCTCACAACTGTTTAAAAGCATGCCCTGACTATATTTCTTTTGGACTGTAAAGCTAGAGGAGAAAGGGGCTCTAGGATGGCCAAAAGAGAGCTGGGATTCTCTTAAATTTTTGAAAATAATGCTTTTGGCAAAAGCGGTTGTTGCTCAGTGATGAGTAACATCTTGGGTCACATGTGGCTGGCAAAATAAATTGCCTGCACCCTGCCTCGTCACCTCTGTTAGGCATTGATATCACACAGTGTAAAGATGGGTGTTTTATTCAGGGAAAGGACACTAATATTTGTGTGCACTATTCTGGAGTCTTTGCTGCTGGTGGATGCTGTGGTAATTACACACCAATATTCATTCAATCTGCCAGCCATTTCTTTGTAATTGACACTTTCTAACTCCTGGGCTCACTGGAGAATTGTACGCTTGGTGCAGCCCAATAAAAGCCAAGAACGGGTTTGTATACATTGCTCTGTCAGGCATACACTGTTCTGGGATGTCGGAATCGTTCATTACAGCCTTTGCTGCATCATCCCACACAACCCCAGCCAAGATTCAGTTGCGTGAAGGATTGTTTTCAAGCTTTTAAAGTAAAATGGCTTGCACTCTCAGAGAAAAACTAGGAATGTTATGCATTTATGATCCCAGCAATATTTTTCTGTGCCATTTAGCAAAATGGGGAAGATTTTTTTTTTTTACTTTTTTACTCAGTATTCATAGATGGGGACAAATTATTTACTTTTTTGATTTTTCCCAATGGTAATTGAAATGTATTTGAGAAAGACTGTACAGTAACAGAAGGTGGTAAAATGCAAACAGGTTATGTCTTTGAAACAGGGTAGTCAAGGTTGGGAATATTACAGGGGTTACGTTTTCTCTTTAAGTTTCACACTCAGTACAATGTCAGAAACAGTCAACATAATGAATCATTGCTATTCTACAAATGAAGCAGTCCCTGTTTACAATAAAAGCATATGGTAATTTAGAAACATCAAAACACATGCTCTAAACATTCTGGTACTAAAATATTTGTCTAAAGGCTTGACTGATAGTTGCATTTTATATGTTTCATCAAATATTCCTTTTATGTGTCAGAAATAAAGGCAAAGGATACAAATATGGCAGGGATGAGAATGATGGCTGACACGCTGAAATACAGAATTCCACACACGCATCGCTTTCTGCCTTTTTTTATTCGGGGAAACAAAATGTCTGTGGCCTTTACAAGTGTCTAATTTTGTGATAAGAGGTTTATTAACTTTTTTCTTCTATTACTTGGTAAGGATTACAATTCAATTTCCTCGTAGGCATCTAGACTGACCCTCAAAATGGATGCTTATCACCAACTCCCTTTCCAGGCATGTACTGTGAGCTTGAATAAAAGGCCCAAAAACTTCTGTTGGCAATATTTTTTTCCTTGTAAGACTTGCTGTTTCTACTCTATTTTTGTCATATACTGCCAGATCCCCTTTGAACAGGAGATATTATAGCAGAGTAGCTAAGAGCACTCACTTTAGAGGTAAGGAGATCTGCATTTGTCCCTTGAATTTACTTCCCCTATCTGATCATCAGGGTCTCGTCTGTAAAGAGATGTTGTTAACACTTCATATTTTGTACCTCACAGGAATACTGTGAGATTATATGAGTTCATAGACATCCTTAGTACTATACTTCACCTCACATTACTACTACTGTTATTAGCAGTATTAAGAACTAGAAATCAAGTTTGAATTAAACAAAAAAAAAACTTTTCAAACTGTTTAAAAAGCTTCCCCAAAAGTTTCCTTTTGACCTACTCTGTATAGGGCCGCTTGACTTCCTACAATTTCAGTTTACCTCTTGCTACTTCCAAAATTGGTTTTTGGCTTTTCCCCACTTAATATCTGCCTCTTGTCCTTGTTTCCTCATTTTGGAAATCTTTTTCTTCTCCTAATATGTAACATGATTTTGCTTAACATAGCTCAAGTTCGTTGCCCTTCAGTGAGCTGGCACTTTGTGGTCCATCTGGCAGTAACCACTCTCTGACTTTTTGTTCCCTTTTCCCTTTCAAACCTCTTCTCTGTTGTTGTCCTGTGCTTGTAGTTTTCTGGGGTTTGTTCATGTAGATTACAGGTTTCAAAGGGGCTGCTGTTCTCTGTATTATATCCCTTAAGACAATACTGAGTCTCTCTCCAAATACACAAACATATATGGTCGTAATAAATGCTTGTTAAACAAACTACCTATCATCAGTATGCCTCATCTAGATGTTAGAAGAAAATAATTTAGGTTTGGAGATCTGGCTTTTATTGCACATTCTTATCCTTTTCTTTCTCTGCCTCATTGTTTCCATCTGTCCCATTTGGATGTGTTTGTTCAGTTATGACCACACAGAAATGCATTTGAGGGCATTTAGCACTACTTGTTTTAAATGTCTTAATACTAATATGTGAACACAAAATCACTGGAGATCTCTCCAGTATCAAACCTCAGGTATTCATCGTCCAGACCAGGGTCAGCAAATGTTTTCTGTCAAGGACCAGGGTCAGACAGTAAATATTTTAGCCTTTGATGGCCACAAATAATGTTAATCATGCATTCTCTGGTTTGTTTTTGTTTGTTTTAGTTTTAATTTTAATTTTTAACAACATTTGAACAATGTCTAAACCATTTTTAGCTTACTCTACCAAAAGAAGTCTTAGACAGATTTGACCCACAGGCTGTGGTCTGTGACCCATGACCTCGCCATCTAGATCATGGTCCATTAGTTTTTTATGGCTCCATTGAACAGACCTTCCAGTGCATTCCAAGTACTGTACTCTATGCAGTTTTTAAACAGTGAATTTTCCTTTTGGAAATTTTTGAAGAATAGCTGCAAAAATGATGTATGGCCCAAAAAGATCTTGGTGAGTGTTCCTTCAATACCCAAATTCTGTTTCTGTCATTGCTGTTTTAACAACAATTCTGTTGACCATAACAATTTGTGACAGATGGCTAATTCATGAATGCCTCCCCAGTTAGTCTGTATGTCTCCTTAGGTTAACTGTGTTTGGACTAAGTGTTCAAGGTGGACGCTTGACATGGCTTTAGGGACACTTCTGACTCCCTGAGGAAATTCCAGGTGTGCTCTCTATGAATTCTGATTCCTTAATCAAAAATCCAGGATTTTCCTTAAAGTCTAATTTAAATGTCCTGTTTCTTCATAAGGCTTTTCTTACTCCCAAGGTCTCTTAATTTTCTGAGCCCCATGCCACCTGATTGCCACGTTCATGCCTTTTAATCCTTTCTGTTTTTCACTATGTATATTAGAATCCTGTTTTTATTCATTGTGTTAGAGCTTATGCAGGAAGGATTGTGTTTTGTTCCTCATGTATTACTTAGCACAATGCTCTCGCATGGTAGGCGTTCAAAAAACACTGAACTGAGGCCGGGCGCAGTGGCTCACGCCTGTAATCTCAGCACTTTGGGAAGCTGAGGCAGGCGAATCATGAGGAGTTCAAGGCCAGCCTGGCCAACATGGTGAAACCCTGTCTCTACTAAAAATACAAAAAATTAGCTGGGTATAGTGGCAGGTGCCTGTAATCCCAGCTACTCAGGAGGCTGAGTCAGGAGAACCATTTGAACCTGGGAGGCAGAGGTTGCAGTGGGCCGAGATCACAACACTGCACTGCAGTCTGGGTGACAGAGTGAGACTGTGTCTCAAAAAAAAAAAAAAAAACACTAAACTGAATTCAAAATCTAAAACCTACTGATACCCAATTAACAGATTTTTTTTTTCCTGAGCCTCCTGCTTGCTCTTTAAGAGGAAAGAACAGTACTGATAAATGATTTAGTGAAAGCTATTTTCATTCAAACAGGGCCTATGGAGAAATGGCTTCCTCACAATGTATTTTTCTGTGTCTGTTCCCTTGACGGTCTTGTCAATTTTGAGACATTTAACTATTTTTGAGTCAACGATAAATTCCCAAAGTCTAACACTTAAGTTTTCACTAGTTATTTTTAGTCAAACAGTGTCAAAAAATGACTTAACAGAGTTTTGAAGTTCTCTTAAAATGTCTCCTGATTTGTAGCCCCTTGAAACTCTTTCAAATGAATATCAGGATGGCCCAAACTTTCCACTGGCCCTTGAATGATCATAACTCCTCCACTCCCCGAGAGAAGTTTGCTTCAGTTTTGTCCTAGGTGGCCACACCTTCACCAGGCTGCCCTCAGCAGCACAGAGGTTTTGCAACAAAGGGCTGGGATTCAGTGAAGATTAGCACTCAGATGGCCAACATGGTGTGGAACAGAAAGAGCTGTCGACCCATGGATGGATTTCAGTCCCCCTCAAGACCCCGAGCTCTCAGGAAGTCAACTGTCTAGGGCTGGGTTATGATATCAATGTAACCTTAAGGAATCAAAAGAAACTAACCTCTAGAAATGTCCGTGAAGCTAAGCTAAGAAAGTTAAGCTAAAGTTGGGAGTATAGGGGAGTGAGGAGAAGGTACTCACGGGATGTGCTCTGGGAGGACCATTATTGATGTATTTTAAACTATTCTTGGTTGAATAGTGGGTATTGTTTTCTAGTGCTCAGACAAAAGGATTTTATGAAAGTGCCTCTAATAAAAGCATGCATTTAACTTAAATTTACCCCTAAATATATATAAACCATCAAAACCTGGAGTGGGGAAAGACTTGAATACTCTGAAAGGGACCAGAGAAGGTGAGGAAGGGAAAAGGGAACAAAAGAAATCATGAAATATATGTGATTCTGTGTGAAAGAATCTACCATTGTGCCTGACACATGCAGCAATTCTCTCTCTCTCTATCCCTCTATGTATATATATAGATATAGATCTATAGCAATCTATCTATAGATTGATTGATTGAACCTGAAACCTGAAATATCTGTTTTCCCAGTAAAACCAAATTCAAATCTAAAACTTAATTGCTGGTGTCAATGATTTTGTTTTTGCATTTGGCAAACTAACTACTACCTTGGCTAACTAATTATACATATATTTATACATATATTTATATTTATATATTTATGTATATATATGTGTGTGTGTGTGTGTGTATATATGTATATATTTTTTGTGTGTGTGTGAGACGGAGTCTCACTCTGTCACCAGGCTGGAGTGCAGTGGCATGATCTCTGCTCACTGCAACCTCCGACTCCCTGGTTCAAGCGATTCTCCTGCCTCAGCCTCCTGAGTAGCTGGGATTACAGGCATTCACCACCATGCCCAGCTAATTTTTGTATTTTTAGTAGAGACGGGGTTTCACCATGTTGGCCAGGATGGTCTTGATCTCCTGACCTTGTGATTCGCCCCCCTCGGTCTTTCAAAGTGCTGGGATTACAGGCATGAGCCACCACGCCCGGCCACTAATTATATTTAAAGTTACAAACAATGATTCTTAAAATATGCCCTGTAAAAATTAGATAATTTTATTTCTGATGCTACTGAGATTTCCAGGTCTTATCCATGTGGCCAGATGTAGTCAGGCATCCACAGGTTTTGTTTTTTGTTTTTTTAGTAGGCTAGAAAAAATGTTTATAAATTGTGCTAAATATCGTAATACTGAACTGAAGATGATATTCACAAAAGAAAGATAAAAGGTTTCAGAATGTAGAGAGGTAAAGGGTGTTAAGGTAAGCTGACACAACTTGTGGGACAGTGGGAAAATAGTAAGGGAGTGTGACCTAAACTGGAACCTCTAAATGTTTTCTATCTTGCTGAAAAAAGTGGACACAATGGCAGAGAGAGGGCTCCTTGAGGAACAGCTGGGAATGGGTAATGAGCACTACTGCTTTAAAATTCCCTTCTGCTTGACTAAACTTCAGAAAGGTTTTCTCCTAACTGTAGGTCTTTGACTTCTATTTCCTAGAGCAGAAATTCCATATTTTAGAAAACATGCAATTATAAATACTTGCTGTGTCCCATTGATATGTAAATCTTCTCCCAGCCTCTTGCAAGTTTACAATCCAGGAAAGGTCTTTGTCAAGAACCTGGGAATGATCTGTTAGAAATAACTGGGGATGGTGTTCCTTTTTCCCAGTCTTTGTGGGAGGGTAGGACCCTAACTTCTATAGGTAACAATTAGGAAACACAGATGACCTAGTCACAGAGAAAAACATTTGCAAACTCAGGAATAATTCAATGTACTGAACACATTCCACTGATTGGCCTCCCCATGAATATTTTCCAGTACTTTTCTTCTAGTTCACCCCGTCCTTAAAAACTACTCTACCATTTGTTTCAGTGGAGTTGAGCACTCAGAAGTGGTCTGTGCTTTCTCTCATATTGCTAGTGATAATATCAGAATAAAATAAACTTCTGTTTGCTTATCTTGTCCTGTGTAATTTTCCTTTAACAGTAAGCGTACCATCTGCCAACTTACATGTCTTAGGGTGATTTTTGTATCATGGAAAAAATAGGTGCAGTTTTTCTGCAACCAGTTTTTAAAAGCATATCTCATTTTGGAGAACTTGCAACCTTTGTATTGCATTTAATATCAAACCTGTATGTAGGTGGGGAGTGTGGGAGTATTGTGTAAGTGAATGTGTGTTTCTGAGTGCT
Organism: Homo sapiens; assembly: GCF_000001405.40. NCBI lineage: Eukaryota > Metazoa > Chordata > Mammalia > Primates > Hominidae > Homo > Homo sapiens. Next base: position 53,182,999 of record NC_000002.12, on the reverse strand, counting down.
AGAAAGATCACTGCGAAAACGTATGAACTTCCTGACTTTTTTCTCTTTGGGGTCAGTTTCCCATATCTTTTCTTGCTCTGATCTGAGAACCTAGTACAGAGAAGCCAGCTCTGCGCTAATACTAGAGCTCCTTCTCACAGCCAGTTAATCATTCTAGGAAGGCAGATATCTTCTTCCTGGGCCTGTCACAGCAGGTGAAGAGAAAGCTGGCTTAATCAAAGGCTTTCTCACCAAACTGGAATATGATCTGACTGCTTGGAGAGGCCTCTGTGTACGTAGGCAACAGCTTTTCTAACTTTCAACCATAAAGAAGGAAGAAAAATATCTCACTGAAGACCCATACCTTAAAATGCCTGAGGAGATTGCAGCCGGATTTTCTCATGATTGAAGGGGAGCTCTCTGATGTATTTCCTAATGATAGTTTTGGGGAGGGGTTGATTAGAGAGAAGATGTCTGACTAAAGTGTCTGTCCTAGCAAATAAAGAAGGCAGAATAAGGTCTTCTTCAACCATCTGAAAGATAAGTTTTCCTTTGGTGGTCATCCAGAGAAATTTGAAGTTGTCCATCTGATGTGTGAAAAGTATTTTTTCAGCTTTTTGCATTCCTTGTGATAAACCAGTGAATTTCTCCAAACTGCTCAGATGTACTGCGGGGATTAAATTTTGATTCTATCCTTGTGAGTGGGGTAGAAAGTGAGGCTGGCTAATGAGTCTCTGGCAATGACACACTATTTTGGGTCTCTCCTTATTCTGAAAAATTGTAGGTAAGGCACTCCTTTCGAAGGAATGAAAGCAGACAGGCAAGAAAGCCAGTCTTTTTTCTTAATCAAATGAATTTTGGCAGCCTTCCTAATGTATGATAGGAGAAAGGCAAAGAAATGTGGAGAATACCCTGCCTTTTGGTGGAAACTGTCAAAAAGAAACTACTATTTTCATAAGTGACAATGGATCTGCTTCAAAATTGTAATGTGTAATGCGGCAGAGATGATGTGGGTGAATTCTTCCTGCCGGCTAAGCCATTTTGTATCTGGGGTTCACCTTTAAACCAATCCATTTGTGGTCCATTTCCTCTGTTATTTGGTTTTAAGTTAAGGGCAAAGATAAAATCAGCTTAGAGAGGAAATTGACAATCTGGTAAATTGCTGTGGCTTTTATGTTTTAGGCAATAGAAGAGATACCAAGGGTCAAAGCAGAGAGTAAATACTTCTCCAGGAAATAAGTTGCCTATTATCTCAGATGCTTTCGAATATTCAAAATTGCCAACCAGCTAGAATTGCCAACCAGCTTTACAGGCTCACAGGGAGATTCAGGGAGGACTGACCTCTCTCTGCCCAAGAGTATCAGTGGGCAAACACATGCTTCTCTTGGCTGGGTGGCAGCAAGGCTCAGTATGCGGAGAGAGGACAGTGATGTGGCTTATAGAAATTCAGAGAGGCCTTGTTCTCCTTTCATGGAAAATTTATCTCAAGATAGCATAGAAAACATAAAACTTTGTGTATTGATGAGACAGCATATAAAAAGAAAGGGCAAGAATGGTTTCTTATGTATTATTTCTTAAATAGCATGTTGGTCTTTTCTGGGCCTCCTCACTGTTCCAATAGTTGGCCTATTTTGTATATTTTTTTGCACAAATAACTTGTGGAATATGATGTTTTTTTTTTCTCAAGTTCCTCTTTTATATAATGCCAATCCCAAGTACTTCGGTTCTATTAATAAATTAAGTAATTCATTGATAAATTGTTTTTAAGTCATGGAAGGTACCGTATGCCAGTCGCTGTGTTGGGTACTGTCAGACAGGAACTCATATACCTTTTTCTCTACTGAATTCTTGTATTTTTAAGATACAGCCATAGTCATATCATTATGAGATTTTTGTTTGTAATTGTGCTATACATACTGTTGTGTTTTTCAACTACATTTTAATTTCTAGGTGGTTAAGTTTTAAAACTTATGTTAAATTTTCTATGGTATCAAAACCAGGTAAGACACATAGTAGATAGTTAATGTGTTTTGATTGATTGTTCCCTTTGGTCAACTTTGGGAGTACTCCCTACATGCCGAGCTGTGATGACCGTTTTGGGGCTTCCGGGCTATTTTTTTCTTTACTATCTCTTGACTTTAAGCCTGAGTTCTGATCATGGAGTTATAGGGGACAGAGGTCAAATGTGACCTACCTGGAGAATTGGGAATTTTGAGAAAGCCCAGCAGATAGGTTAGTGAAGAACTGGGCAGATCTGAGTTGACATCAGGAGAAAATGGGCACCGTTGTGGGGAGCCTAGACAAGTGGACAGCATTAGCTTCTGCCAAAGGTCTTCCTCCATGCCCCATTCCAATACGTAGCAAACCTGGAATCACTGATTTTTCTCATTCACTGTCACTCTGTTGCCAGCGCTTTAGCCAAGTCCTGTCAACATGACACTCATGCTCTATCCCCTAACCAACCCTTGAACACTGACATTCTAGTTCAAAACACCATTCTTCTCTGGACTTTTGTAACATGTCCTCACTGTAGTTCTTACCTCTGTTCCTTCTTCCTCTTCAGGCTTTTCTGTACACAGCAGCCAGTGGGCTTTTAAAAATGTAAAACATTTATGTCACTTATGTGCATGAAATTTTCTTCTGGCTGAAGGTGACAGGTAAAATAAGGTTCCAGACTCCTAAGAATTAAACTTGGTCTGCGAGGCCCTGTGTGAACTGGTGGCAGCCTTGTGGCCTCCCATCCCCTCCATCCCTGCCCCTTCCACTTCAGCCCTACTGCTGTTCTTGAGCACACCAATCTTATTCACACACTAAGACTTCTGTGTTTGCTATTTCCTCTGCTCCAAATGCTTTCCCTCTAGATTTTCAAATGACTTGATCGCTCATTTCATTTAGTTCTCTGCTCGAATTTTACCTTCTCTAATAGCCCTTGCTTGCTTATTCACACTTTTGAATACCGGCCCAGTTATTCTCTTTCTCTTTACCTTGCTGCTTTGTTCATCATACTTCTCATTACCTGAGACTATAGCCTTTCTCTTTGCTGAACTTGACTTGACATTAATGACTTGTTAAAAAGTCAGGCTCTTCTTTGGGTCACTCCTGGATTAGTCATGGGAGCTATGAGCTATGAGGACAGACATATAGAAAATGCTAAATCACAAGGTAGAATATCATAGAATTAGAGTAGAAACACTCTTGGTTGTCTCAGTTTGCAAGTAACACATTGAGGGTCCATAAAAAATAATAGCTGTTTCTGGTTACTTGTCACAGGTTTTTATATATATTTAATATTTTGATCATCACCTTTATGAAATAGGTATTATTATATTTTCTATTTTACACAGAGGGGAATGAGGGCTGAGGCGCAGTTACCCAAAGTCTGTAAGCTATGAATAAAGCATGGATTAGACTCAGGTCTCATGATACCCACTTGAGTAATGTTGAACATTTCGATTCCTTGGAGGAAAAGTGTTTTAATCTAAAGAAATGGCTTTGCAAACAAATTCCTGCCAGCTCTGCTACTTATTATATAAACTACTTTTATTCCAAGAATGTTAATTTTTATATTTATAATATACACGTTATGCTAACTACTTCATATCATTGATAGAAAAAAGTGAGTAATTATGTTTTAAGTGCCTAGCATAGTATCTGGGACATGTAAATGCTCAATAAAGTAAAATATTAACTGCTTTCACCCACTCCCTTGGTCTCAATTATGGGTATTATATCATCACAGTTAACATCTTCTTAGAAAAAGTGTTCCGCAGGCATCTGGAGATTCCCAAGGTCCTGTGGAGTCATCCTACCCTGGTTAGCTAGTGAAATACAAACAGGTGTTTTTTTTTTTCTTTTTTTTTTTTTTCAGAACTGAATTTCACCTTCATTTCTTCCAAAGTTCTGTGGTAATTAATAGAAGGTGTACTTCATCAGGTTTGGCACAGGCTGACCCTCCAACTGAAATTTTAAAAATACACTGAATCATTCAACATAATTTATTTGCAATGTAACCACTGAGAAGAAATTTGTCATTTTCCTTTTAAACCATGTACCTTGCTAAGTTTTCCATGGGCTTGCTGTACATACATAACTTTTAAAATAGAAATAGAATTTGAAGAGGATGATCAAGGTAAACTGCAGTGGTTTGGCACTGCAGTAGTTTGGGATGTCAGTAATTCTTAAGCTAAAATAAACACTTTCATGATTCAACAGGACACCTCTGATTTTACATTTGTTGTCATCTTTCATTTGCTTTCCTGTTTTGGAACCATTTACCAACGGTGCTGATTGGACTGTGTTTGATTCCTATGGAGAAATGGTCTATGTTACAATTTGTGATGCAAGAGAGAAGAAATTTTTACTCTTATTTCAAAGTATTTGAAAAAATAATTATTTCTCTACAGTGAATTTCCTATTATATTGGGTATCACACAAAAAAGACTATTTTGTGTATGCTTTTTGGTGATAGTCTTCATCAGTGAAACAAACTAAAGTACTTTTTCAAAAGAAATAGTCACACATAGTTAATAAGAAATCAGTTGGGTCTATTTATTCTTCTCTTCTTACTGTAAGAATTTATTTGGCCTTGAAAGTAAAAAATAAGTTTCTTTGATATCAATTCATATAGCAGGATCTCTCTACTACACTGTGATATAATTAAACTTGTCTCTGGTAGTCACTGTTAATGTCACACTCCTGAGGTACCCTGCAAGCATGTTAGAGCAGGATTTTTCAACCAGAGAACAATGATATGAAATGTATGATCCTCAGATGCACGATCCTACCCTTTTTGATATCACAGATTGACTTCTGAACTGTATAAAGTTAATGATAATCTGAATAGACCACTGAAAGTATTTCTGTTTAATAAAGACCCAGGTGAAGTTTTCATTGGCTTGCCTGAAATGATAGGAAGCCGCCGTCAATAGCCCAGTTGTTTGTATCTAAAATCTTTTTTTTTTTTCGAGATGAAGTCCCACTCTGTTGCCCAGGTTGGAGTGCAGTGGTGCTATCTCAGCTCACCACAACTTCCGTCTCCCCGGTTCAAGCTGTTCCCTTGCCTCAGCCTCCCAAGTAGCTGGGATTACAGGCACATGCCTCCATGCCTGGCTAATTCTTTTGTATTTTTAGTAGAGATGGGGTTTTGCCATGTTGGCCAGGCTGGTCTGGAACTCCTGACCTCAGCTGATCCACCTGCCTAGACCTCCAAAGTGCTGAGATTACAGATGTGAGCCACCATGTACCTAAAATCTTCAAGGTACAAACTACAGCTTGAAAAAACACCAACTGACCTGACCAACTGACCTAATCCCATGAGAATATGACTCAAGGAAAGGAAATGTCCTTTCAAACTATTGGACAGTAAGAAGCATCAAAATCAATGACAAATAGAACAGTCTAGAAACTCAAAGTGCAAGGAGAATAAACAGCTGTAAGGATGTGATGCAAAAGCTAAATTTAAGTGGAGGAAACAATGTGCTATTTTTTAAATTGGTGTGTGTGGATCAGTCTTCTCAGCGTTTCCAAGCAGACTTGGCAGAAAAAGGAAAAAGCAGTCATCACTTCTATCTGTGATTCTTTTGATTGGTCATTTCTACAGTTCTTGGAGGTAAATCACACTGGGAAAATTGAATCAGCTCAGTAGCTCTCAAAATATGGAACTCTTTAACACCCAGCTTATTATTCTGATTCCCATGAAAATTTCTTGGCCGTGAGGAGGAAATTTGTGTCACTAAGGCAGAAAGGTACACCATCCAACATATTTAGGGCTCTCCTCCATCATTGTGTACCATGAGGGCAAGCAATGATAATCAAGACATGGCCATTAACTGAAATCAATCTGAAAGGGGATCTGAAATGAAAACTCTTGAAATATATTATTTCCGTTGTCTTAGTCTGTTTGTGCTGCTATAAAGAATACCATAGACTGGGTAATTTATAAAGAATAGAAGTTTATTTTTCACAGTTCTGGAGGGTGGGAGGTCCAAGATCAAAATGCCAACATCTGCTGTCTGGTGAGGGCCTTCTTGCTGCATCCTCACATAGCAGAAGGTAGAAAGGCAAGAGGGGACAACTGTTGTGTCCTCACATGGCAGAAGAGCAAAAGACAACAAACCCTGTCTTGCAAATGTTTTTATAATAACATTAATCCATTCATGAGGGCATAGGCCTCATGACCTAAACACCTTCTGTCAGGCTCCACCTGCCAACACTATTGCATTGAATTGCATTAAAGTTCCAACATATGAATTTTTGGAGGAGACACATTCAAACCATAGCATAAGGCACCCTAAATTCCCTAGAAACCTAAAGCCTAGGAAATCCCCAGGTGTAGTACCCAAGGACTCTACAAATATTCTCCCTATATGTAAACATAGTTTTACTGACAAGTGCTGTAAGAACAGCAGGGAGACATAGAATGGCACTGTCATGTTATTGTCATTCTCACTAGCCATTCTGCAAAACTTCAGGTCCAGCCAGTTTCCTTTCCTGCTAATAGGCATGGTTGCTTCTTAGAGGTAGTGATTTTATATGTGTTAAGCTTTGAGTGACTTATTATTACACTACACTATTCCTTTTATTAATTTAGCACAGAGATTGAAAAGCTAACTGACATTTGACTCTGCTCTTTTGCTAGCTGGATTATGGCATACATTTGTGCATCATTAAGTGCATCTATGAGTGATGGTCAGGGCATTATGTCACATCACAGGGTCATCCTCTCTTATCATGTCATATCACATCATGATTGACATAGACACACAACTTAATTCGAGTATCTGGAAGTAATTAGGAAGTAAGCCTTCACAGCAGTCTTAGCAGTGCTTACAGAAAAAGGAAATAGAGAAGATTGACCTTTCCATATTTTGTTGTCTACCACTGAAGATAGAATGACCCCGTTGGATGTTGTACATATAGATATATTTATATCTTAATGAAAAGCAAAGCATGTGTACAAGATGGGCATTTATTTTTCTGCATTTCCCTGACTATGGTGAGGCAGTGCCCCTCTGTGTTTATTACTGTTGTTGGTAAAATCTAATTCTTGCAACCAGGTATTAATCTAAAGGAAAGTACTAATGGAATGAGCTACGTGATAGCGATTAGGAATTTCCAATGTGACAATCAAACTAAGGCAATTCAAGGAGAGTTGGACTGGGCTGTTGAGTGATTATTTTTGTAGTCTCCTCACCATAAAATCAATCCAACCTGCTACCTTAGGCTTCTGTTGCCTGATAAATCTGGCATATAAATCCATATGCACATAAGTATTTGGTAGCACTAAATACTTCCAACTTTAATCTTGGGTTGATTATGAACTCTTGGATCCTGAAAATTAATCCTTGAACTCTCTCTACTTTTTCTCCTGCATTCTTAACTCTTTTCCACATCAGAAGCTAGTAAATAGGAAAACTAATTTGAATAAATTAAGATCCTTGAAAATTAATGAACATAGTTCATTATTCAAATGGTTCCTTTTGTTGTACCCCAGTAATACCCAGGAAACCTCCACTCACAGTAATGAGAGATGGGCATGTTTCCTCTTCTGTCATGACTCTGAAGCTTTTACCATTGGAGAGGCATGTTGTCTTTCAAGAATGTGGAAGTCATCATCTATGTGCCTTCTTGGGAAGTGCAAGGAGGGTTGGTTGGAGGTTTTAGTGCTGTCATCAACAGAATTAACTTTAATGAACACTTTGGATCTAGTGAAGCTTTCTTTAGTGATCTCGTCCTCCTGGTTCAGTAGCCTTTCTGCTCATTTTACTGTAGGTGTTTAGTTCTCTTCTTTATGCTTCTCTCTTATTCTCTGTCAAAATTTCCTCTCCTAGCCATACTTGACGGTTTAATGTACTATTCTTCTCAAGTGATTTAGTAGGAATCAAAATCTCAAACTCAGAAATGAAGTAATGATCAATGGCTAAGTGAGGGATATATTGAAAAAAACAATAGACTGAATTGGTTAACTCTAAAAGTATAAATGTGATCAAATTGCCTCTTCTATTCTCATGTAAATTTTAGCCATGGTCTATAACATTACTCTAAAGTATTGACATTGCCATCATTTAATATGCTTTATCACACCCTTACTGGTTGAATGCGTTTTTAACATGCTATTGTGAAAAAGACTTTATCATTTAAGTAGATTACAAGTTCAACATAGTTGTGTCATCATTACTCAAAATGCTAATGCAAATCTAGGTTACACTCATAAAAGTATTGTCTTGATCAAACATAGTAAAGTTACCTCTGTTCTCTGTGCTGATTGTACTACACCTGGAGTATTGAGTTTACTTGTAGACACTGTCTTTAAGAGTGTGCCTTGGACCTATTTCAGTTGGCTTACAAAAGATCAAATTTATACACATATTTATATAAAAAGACTTATTGTTTGCTTAACTTTAAGGATGTTGTAGAGTTTACTAAAAGGGATCAAAAGATACCTAGAGAAGAAGGTTTTCTGATGCAGTAAGAGTGAGGTTGAAATGAGGTTGAGTTGGCCTTAGAAGGAGGTGAGAATAAGTTGGAATGAGCTTGGGGTGTGCTGCAGGTGATCTTGAGATGAGATAGGCTGAGCTTGGAGCAAGTTTAGGATGTTATTGGGATGGGAAGAAGCTATAAATTAGTCTGGAGAGGACCAAGAAACACTCTGAAGATTGCATAGATTTGTATATTTTAGTGAGTGTAGGGCACAGGTCATGCTAGTCAGTTTAACAAGCCGCCTCAAGAGATAGTTAACCTAACAACAGACACAGTTAATTATAGCAGACTGAAACTGAACTTTTTTACTATATTTATCATATTCAGTCATCTGAACCTGTCCTACACGTGATCCTTAGTAACTGATCAAACACAGAGAGGAAGTTGAACAGGATGATAAAGAGTCAAAAGGTATCCAAGATATCATTGCATAAATTGGAGGTTTGTCTTAGAAAAACAGGAAAATTGGGAGGCCATTGATGCTACCTAATAATTGAAGGAAGGGGCATACATGAAAGAAACAGTAGGCTTGGTCTTCGTTACATCAGACGGCAGAGTTAGAAGGGGCACATAGAACACTGAGGCTCCGCAGTGACGATATGAGCATGCTTATAACCAGGGGAGTTCCCATTTCCACAAGTGCACAAGAAGAGGCTGGTGGAAACTTCCTGGAATGGGAAAAGCAATCAGGGAGTTTCTAAGGTCCTTCCTGTGACTCTCTGAGGTTCTGAGTGGCTTTAATCTTTTCAATTGTTTTAGTTCCAAGCTTTTTTTTTTTTTAAGAGATCCGTGAGTTTTCTTCTTGAGAAGAAACACAGGCAATAAAGAAATTAATGTCTCTGAAGCATCTAGCATATATTCCCTTTCTCTTGTCACTGTCTTCCCTTGACTCTTAAGGAAAGCACATTGGAAAAAGTTGAATAATTAAATAGGATGTGCTACCTAATATAGTATTGAAGCATTTCTGTTGGATGAGAAATATCTAGTGATCCACCTTGGCAAAGAAAGATTTACAGAATGACTAACAAAGACATTTGTATTGAATATTCCCATGTTATACTCTCCAAACTATTCTTGATCACTGTTTCTTTGTATTTCTATTTTTTTTGCTTATGTTTAAAAAGCAGTTTGAGACTCCAGCTGCTAGGCCAAGCATGCTCTTTTTTACTGGCAGAATTTTCCTCTATTGGCAGAATCCACAGGCAATTGCTTTGATTTTTTTTGGCGTTACATTTGGTGTCTGTCATAGTTCATTCAAAGATAAGCTGATTGGACTGTGTAGTTGGTCCCAAACATTTTTGGCTTTAATGCTCCATCAATTCTCTTTGAAAATGAAGTCCTAGGCCAATCTCATCTCTCAAGGGACACTTGCAGATGACTTGTTTAAGATCAAAATGCAACATAATTTCCTGATGTCCATATGCTTTCTCTGGAACCTCTTTCATTATCCTCAAAACTGGTATTTCTTATAAGTGAATAATAGATAGCCATTTGGAAGATGTCTAAACTTCAGAAGTGTTTCCTCTAAGAGTTCCTGCAATTGAGAGTCAAGAGGTGTGGATTGGTTTGTAAGAACTCCAGAAAGTGTGCTCTAGAACATAAAAACACTTATAAAATCACTCTTTTAAAAAGACCACAGACTAAATTTATAGTTTACCATTTGACCACGATAATAGTAAGGGATTTATAAAGTAGACATTGCCCTAATTTTTCAGTATTTTGGTCTTAATATGATTCACATATTTTATCCTAACACATTTATTTTATTTTATTTTATTTTATTTATTCTTATTTTTTGAGATGGAGTTTCACTCTGTCACCCAGGCTGGAGTGCAGTGGCGTGATCTTGGCTCACTGCAACCTCTGCCTTCTGGGTTCAAGTGATTCTTCTTCCTCAGCCGTTCGAGTAGCTGGGATTATAGGTGTGTGCCACCACACCCGGCTAATTTTTGTATTTTAGTAGAGATGGGGTTTCACCATGTTGACCAGGCTGGTCTCGAACTCCTGACCTCAACTGATCTGCCTGCATTGGCCTTCCAAAGTGCTGGGATTTTAGGCTTGAGCCACCATGCCTGGCCTATTTCTTTATTTACTGAAATCAGGTCTCACACTATCACCTAGGTTGGAGTGCAGTGGTGCAATCATAGCTCACTGCAGTCTCTACCTCCTGGGCTCAAGCAATCCTCCCACATCAGCCTCCCAAGTAGCTCTGTAACTAAAGGCGTGCACCAACATGCCCAGGTAATTTAAAATTTTTATTCTTTTTTGTAGAGATGGGGTCTCAGTATGTTGCTCAGGCTTGTCTTGAACTCCTGAGCTCAAGCAATCCTTCTAGCTTGGCTTCCCAAAATGCTGGGATTACAGGTGTGAGCCACCACACCCAGCGTATAAAATTTGCAATCATTTTATGACAAAGAAATAAGAATCTATGTAAATTAGTGATGTGGTCTAATATAACATAGATTTGTTGAAACTAAGGCTTTAAAAACTGACAAAGAATTATCCAACTGACATTCTTTGAATTCCACACAGCATCTCAAATGCTACAGGCCTCTTTTTAGGGGCAAGCATAAAGGCAGATAAAAATTCGTGTTTTCTATGTTAATTTTTCAAGAAGGATAGGTCAACTGGAGAAGAGAATATCAAGACTGGGTAACAGGAGAGGTCTGATAGCCAAAGTCTGTGCTTTCTTATGGAGGTCTCAGTGGAACACACCAGTACTTAGATGATGAGCTTATTTCTGCTTAACGTCCTAGCCTCTTTCTTCCCCTTATCTCCAAATGATCTCTTTCTACTTTTTGTGAAAGTGATGTTTGGACCAGCTCTGTGTACAGTCCTGATAGGATTTGTTCCCTCCTTGTATATAGGGAAGAAAAAATGATGAAATTTGCTGATTAGAAAAGTGTTTAAGAATACCGCATAAACCTTGCAATTATAGGCGTAACCTCGGGATTACAGGCGTGAGCCACTGTGCCTGGCCACAGATGTCTACTATTGCAAACATAACATTTCTTTCTTTTTTCACTTGTCTATCTTCTTTGACTAGATTATAAGTTCCTGACTAATGTCATAAGGAATAATCAGCTTTATTTATTTATATTTAATAATGAGGTCTTATTTCTCTTGGCAATACTAGGATCTAGAGCAGTGCATGGCTCATAAGTCAGGTCTCAGAAAATTTTTGTTCAACTGACAGATTGAGGATGAAAGCAAAATCTCAAATCTAAAGACTCCAAAAGGCATCAGATTGGTAATGATTTAGGAGAATAGATTAATAATGAATAGTTTGGAGCATCCATATGTTATATTTGTTATTGTGCTGTGTCTGTAGGAGAGTCTGTAAGTATATTTACTGTACAGAACATACTCTGAAGTTCCCTTTCCAAGTATCTCTACATGAATTGTCATTTCAATATGACTGTCCTTAAATGTGGGTCTAAAAGAAAATTCTTTACGAAAAAATAACAGGTTCATTCCTAACAAAGTGGGTAAGGTAACATAAGGCTTTTATGTTACCTTAAATGCCTGGCTCTAATTAATGTAGTGATAAAGCATAATATTTTCTCATGCTAATTATGAAATTATATAATATGAACCAATACAATGGCAAGAAGCTTAGAAAATTAGGCATAATTCATTAAATAAATGAAATACAGTTAAAGGAAGACATGTTAGAAAAATCTAGCATCATCTCAAACCTGGTGAGCTGAATTGTCTGTTATGTGTTTGCATGTTCATAATTCATTTTCCCCAAATCTCTGTATTTAGGTCATTTGAAAATCATCTAAGAGTTGCAGCTGTTGCCTAAGTCATAAGTATTTCAGTATTCTGAGATAAAAAGCAACTTAGATTCCAGTGAACAAAAACATAATCAACTTGTATATAAACTTCATTGCTTAAGGGCAGTGTGGTAATTGGGAACATATGGTCATCGTAACCTAGGTTTCTGAGAAATTGCAAATGTTTTTTCTTTCTTTGATTCTTGCCAGACCACTCTTGATTCGAGTGTCCCTCTTATAGTTCACTTTTGGATGATGTTTGTTTTGCTTTAAATCTTTTTTTTTTTTTCTTTTTTTTTGAGACAGGATCTTGCTCTGTCTCCCAGGCTGGAGTACAGTGGCACAGTCATGGCTCACTGCAGCCTCTACCTCCCAGGTTCAAGCAATCCCCCCACCTCAGCCTCCCGAGTAGCTTGGACTGCAGGTGCATGCCACCATGCCTGGCTAATTTTAAAACTTTTTGCATAGGTGGGGTCTCTCTGTGTTGCCCAAGGTGGTCTTGAACTCCTGAACTCAAGCTATCCTCTCACCTCCACCTCCCAAAGTGCTGAGATTACAGGTGGGAGCCACCGTGTCTGGCTAAATCCATTTTTAAATGATTGACATAAACAATATACAGGCTCAAAAGTGACAATTTTTAATCAGGGGAAAATAGGTCAAATCAAAGCAGGGCAAAACCATTCTATTTCATGGTTTTCCCAGATCTGGGATTTAGGCATGGAATACCAAAGATTGAAGTAATTGTGCATCCATGGTAAGGGATGATAAATTCTGATATTCAAATGTGCAGCTACCTTCCCTCATATGTGACTTTATAAAGGTAGACCGGTTGCTTTAATTTGGAAATTGTTCTGAGGCATTGTTATAATCACATTTATTCAGTATAGTCTTTCAAATTATATTTAACCCAATCTACATTTGCTAACATTTATTGATGTGGGTGACAATGCTCTACCGGTTTGTAGTTTGTGTTTCTTTGTTTCACATGTGCCTAAGTTAAAGAGTATAACTCTTTTTTATCTTCTTTCTTTTTTCTCTTTTCTCTCCCTTTTCTTTGTCTTTTGGTTCTTTTGTTTCTCTTCTTTTATTCACTTACTCAATCAATCAAATCACATACTGACCATGTTTTGAACCCCTCAATGAGCTGCCTATGACCAGAACACCTATGCCATGTCTTTAGGAAAGAAAACTATGCTCTTGAAAATCTCTTCTCCCACTTCTTCCTTTCTTTCTCATGCTCCTCTCTCACCTTTCTTCCCTGAAGTTGTAGATGTTAGCAATTATTGAGTAGATATGTGCCAGGTCCTGTAATAGTCACTGAATATGTATTATTACACTGATTCTCACAACCACCTTATGAAGTAGAGTCAATTACCACACATTTCACCCATGAGGAAAACAGAGTCCAGAGTAACTTGCCTAAGTTTAGAACTAGTAAACAGAAGAGCCATGAATAGAATCTAGTTGTGTCTAACTCCATGTCCATTCTCTTTTATTGCTTCCTAATTATTTATTCAATATATTCTAAGTTAATTTACAGGTTCCAAAAGTTTTGGAAATTGTGGCAATGAACTTGTTATGAGGGTTGTTTATGGATATGACATCCCTAATATTGGTTTGGCTTTCAAAGATACTACTTTTTAAAATAAATTTGTAGAAATGTGGGGCCTGTGAATGTAAGAGTAATTATTTTTAAAATTCAGTAGGATGCATGTATTTTCATAATTAAAACAATAATTGGAACATAAAATATTTTGACAGCATTTAGGGCTTTTTTAAAGAGCAGTAGATCCTTTAATAAAGGAACTATTTAATAAAGACCTTTACAAATTTAACAAATGCAGAGCTCTCTCTCCCAGCCTGACTGGAATGTCAGCCATCTGTACTCAAAGTTTGAATGATGGGGCTGTCATTTAGGTTGGTATTTGAAATCAAACTATGGCTGTGAATTTCTAAATTACAAAGTAAAGAGAAGATGGTTCGTTTATCAGGAAGACATGGAAATTATCTTCAAATTCTTCCATCTAAAAGTCCTTATTTAGAGGTCATGAAGTGTTATTCCTGATTTTGAGCGATACCAGGCCACTTCTTTTACAGATCCAAAAATGAAATAACAATTTCCCCTTTTTAATTAATCAATATTTACTCTAATTCCATTGTATATTTAACACTGCTTGATAATATGGAGAATATAAAAATGCTTTGAGATATGTTTCTTGAGCACAAGAAGTGTACATTCCAGTTGGAGTTGAAGTAATTGTTGAAATAAGTATTTGTTAATTTCAATAGATTTTAAACAGCAAGAAGAAGACTACCTCAAAGGTGAACTCCACAAGTGAATTTTCTCTTAAGTTTGTGGACAATTTTGTTGGAATATATTTTTATTTGATTAGAGTAACATACTCATGTCCTTAAACAGAAATCATGTAAAGACAATGATTCCACCTCTGTGTGTGATATTAACTTATCAAATAGTCTGTGTTGCAATAAAATACAGACTTGAATAGGAACCCCTTTTCAGTCAAAAATGTCCTTTTAACATTCTTAGTATTATTGAAATATTTAGGTGTGTTGGGAGTAGTTGTGATATATATTGATCAGGGAAACACAAATAAGAGTTAGAGGTTAGTATACGGAGAAATGTAAGCAAGAAATATCCAAAATTATGTTGTTACAGAAAATGGACAACGTCTAACATTTAATTTTAAAACTGTAGATTAGATGTCATGATTAGAGTCAGATCTTGAATTTTTCACCTTCCACATAAATTCTAAGTAAAACCGTTTAAGCCTGGTGGTTGTCTTATCTGTTGATACTAGATATTAGACGAAGCATTTACATATGGTTGTTATGGTGATGGGATGAAGAGGAGAATTGTATATTATTTTACAATGTAGAAAAATATCTGGATCACAAAGCCTTGATGTGGGATTAATATTAATACATCACACTGCCCACTCCCATTATTCTGGCATGTCTCATGAGATCAATAAATGTTTCAAATATCTTATAAGCCATATATTGTCCAATGTAATAAGGTCTTCATTACATTTCCCTCATGACTTGAGACAGGAACTAAGACAAAGTGTTTTCTTACATTGGTGAAATATATATCAGCAATTATTATTTTCCACTCAGCTTGGCAAGTTCAGGTAGGCATTTGGATGCAACTTTGAAATGCTTTTGCAAAAAATTAAAATTCTTGGACGTGATTCTCAATGAAACTGTACTTTATTTCATATATGTTAGCTTTGTGCTAGGAAATTGAACAAACGACCTTTTTCATGCCCTTGGAATAGAGAGAGCATTACATATGACATCTTGGTTTTTGCTGACTAGGTACATATTTCTTCCTGAAATGTGATGATCACTTTCCTGATTTGCTACGTGCGTGCTCATAAAAGATCAGTTTGTTAGGCAAACTGTGAAATATGCCAGTCTCATTTTTGATTACTAATAATTTATGGGGACACTAAGTAGTCTAAAGCAAAAACTACTTCATTTTTCTTTAGCTGATCCAATTTCTATTTTTTCTAGGGAAATGTGTTATATGACAATGACAATTTCCAAGTTATATGTTATAATTTGGGGATTTATTTTTCACTTAAAAGGTCAATAGCTTTTAGGATATTAGGTAAACATAGGAGAAAGACTATAATATATAACAAAAACAATTATAGTATTTTATAGAATAGTAATTTTAGAGAAAAATTGAGTTAATCCATTTTCATGATGGAAAGGAATAATATTTACGATGATCTTTGATGTAGGTAGTTAAACTAAATTTGTTAATCATTTTTTTCTAATCCCACTTCTGTCTTTATTTTTTTATTTATTTATTTTTATTATACTTTAAGCTTTAGGGTACATGTGCACAACGTTCAGGTTAGTTACATATGTATACATGTGCCATGTTGGTGTGCTGTACCCATTAACTCATCATTTAACGTTAGGTATATCTCCTAATGCTATCCCTCCCCCCCGCCCCCCACCCCACAACAGGCCCTGGTGTGTGATGTTCCCCTTCCTGTGTCCATGTGTTCTCATTGTTCAGTTCCCACCTATGAGTGAGAACATGCAGTGTTTGGTTTTTTGTCCTTGCGATAGTTTGCTGAGAATGATGGTTTCCAGCATCATTTTTTGTCCTTGCGATAGTTTGCTGAGAATGATGGTTTCCAGCTTCATCCATGTCCCTACAAAGGACATGAACTCATCATTTTTTATGGCTGCATAGTATTCCATGGTGTATATCTGCCACATTTTCTTAATCCAGTCTATCATTGTTGGACATTTGGCTTGGTTCCAAGTCTTTGCTATTGTGAATAGTGCCGAAGTAAACATACATGTGCATGTGTCTTTATAGCCACATGATTTATAAACCTTTGGGTATATACAGTAATGGGATTGCTGGGTCAAATGGTATTTCTAGTTCTAGATCCCTGAGGAATGGCCACACTGACTTCCACAATGGTTGAACTAGTTTACAGTCCCACCAACAGTGTAAAAGTGTTCCTATTTCTCTACATCCTCTCCAGCACCTGTTGTTTCCTGACTTTTTAATGATCACCATTCTAACTGGAGTGAGATGGTATCTCATTGTGGTTTTGATTTGCATTACTCTGATGGCCAGTGATGATGAGCATTTCTTCATGTGTCTTTTGGCTGCATAAATGTCTTCTTTCGAGAAGTGTCTGTTCATATCCTTCGCCCACTTTTTGATGGGGTTGTTTGTTTTTTTCTTGTAAATTTGTTTGAGTTCATTGTAGATTCTGGATATTAGCCCTTTGTCAGATGAGTAGATTGCAAAAATTTTCTCCCATTCTATAGGTTGCCTGTTCATTCTGATGGTAGTTTCTTTTGCTGTGCAGAAGCTCTTTAATGTAATTAGATCCCATTTGTCAATTTTGTCTTTTGTTTCCATTGCTTTTGGTGTTTTAGACATGAAGTCCTTGCCCATGCCTATGTCCTGAATGGTATTGCCTAGGTTTTCTTCTAGGGTTTTTATGGTTTTAGGTCTAACATTTAAGTCTTTAATCTATCTTGAATTGATTTTTGTATAAGGTGTAAGGAAGGGATCCAGTTTCAGCTTTCTACATGTGGCTAGCCAGTTTTCCCAGCACCATTTATTAAATAGGGAATCCTTTCCCTATTTCTTGTTTTTGTCAGGTTTGTCAAAGATCAGATAGTTGTAGATATGTGGCATTATTTCTGAGGGCTCTGTTCTGCTCCATGGGTCTATAGCTCTGTTTTGGTACCAGTGCCATGCTGTTTTGGTTACTGTAGCCTTGTAGTATAGTTTGAAGTCAGGTAGTGTGATGCCTCCAGCTTTGTTCTTTCGGCTTAGGATTGACTTGGCAATGCGGGCTCCTTTTTGGTTCCATATGAACTTTAAAGTAGTTTTTTCCAATTCTGTGAAGAAAGTCATTGGTAGCTTGATGGGGATGACATTGAATCTATAAATTACCTTGGGCAGTATGGCCATTTTCATGATATTGATTCTTCCTACCCATGAGCATGGAATGTTCTTCCATTTGTTTGTGTTCTCTTTTATTTCATTGAGCAGTGGTTTGTAGTTCTCCTTGAAGAGGTCCTTCACATCCCTTGTAAGTTGGATTCCTAGGTATTTTGTTCTCTTTGAAGCAATTGTGAATGGGAGTTCACTCATGATATGGCTCTCTGTCTGTTATTGGTGTATAAGAGTGCTTGTGATTTTTGCACATTGATTTTGTATCCTGAAACTTTGCTGGAGTTGCTTATCAGCTTAAGGAGATTTTGGGCTGAGACAATGGGGTTTTCTAGATATACAATGACGTCGTCTGCAAACAGGGACAATTTGACTTCCTCTTTTCCTAATTGAATACCCTTTACTTTCTTCTCCTGCCCGATTGCCCTGGTCAGAACTTCCAACACTATGTTGAATAGGAGTGGTGAGAAAGGGCATCCCTGTCTTGTGCCAGTTTTCGAAGGGAACGCTCCAGTTTTTGCCCTTTCAGTATGATATTGGCTGTGGGTTTGTCATAGATAGCTCTTATTATTTTGAGATACGTCCCATCAATATTTAGTTTATTGAGAGTTTTTAGCATGAAGGGTTGTTGAATTTTGTCAAAGGCCTTTTCTGCATCTATTGAGATAATCATGTGGTTTTTGTCTTTGGTTCTGTTTATATGCTGGATTACATTTATTGATTTTCGTATGTTGAACCAGCCTTGCAACCCAGGGATGAAGCCCACTTGACCATGGTGGATAAGCTTTTTGATGTGCTGCTGGATTCGGTTTGCCAGTATTTTATTGAGGATTTTTGCATCGATGTTCATCAGGAATATTGGTCTAAAATTCTCTTTTTTGGTTGTGTCTCTGCCAGGCTTTGGTATCAGGATGATGCTGGCCTCATAAAATGAGTTAGGGAGATTCCCTCTTTTTCTATTGATTGGAATAGTTTCAGAAGGAATGGTACCAGCTCCTCCTTGTACCTCTGGTAGAATTCGGCTGTGAATCCATCTGGTCCTGGACTTTTTTCGGTTGGTAAGCTGTTAATTATTGCCTCAATTTCAGAGCCTGCTATTGGTTTATTCAGAGATTCAACTTCTTCCTGGTTTAGTCTTGGGAGGGTGTATGTGTTGAGGAATTTATCCATTTCTTTTAGATTTTGTAGTTTATTTGCATAGAGGTGTTTATAGTATTCTCTGATGGTAGTTTGTATTTCTGTGGGATCAGTGGTGATATCCCCTTTATAATTTTTTATTGCATCTATTTGATTCTTCTCTCTTTTCTTCTTTATTAGTCTTGCTAGCGGTCTATCAGTTTTGTTGATCTTTTGAAAAAACCAGCTCCTGGATTCATTGATTTTTTGAAGGGTTTTTTTATGTCTCTATTTCCTTCAGTTCTGCTCTGATCTTAGTTATTTCTTGCCTTCTGCTAGCTTTTGAATGTGTTTGCTCTTGCTTTTCTAGTTCTTTTAATTGTGATGTTAGGGTGTCAATTTTAGATCTTTCCTGCTTTCTCTTGTGGGCATTTAGTGCTATAAATTTCCCTCTACACACTGCTTTGAATGTGTCCCAGAGATTCTGGTATATTGTGTCTTTGTTCTCGTTGGTTTTGAAGAACATCTTTATTTCTGCCTTCATTTCATTATGTACCCAGTAGTCATTCAGGACTAGGTTGTTCAGTTTCCATGTAGTTGAGCGGTTTTGAGTGAGTTTCTTAATCCTGAGTTCTAGTTCGATTGCACTGTGGTCTGAGAGACAGTTTATTATAATTTCTGTTCTTTTACATTTGCTGAGGAGTGCTTTACTTCCAACTATGTGGTCAATTTTGGAATAGGTGTAGTGTGGTGCTGAAAAGAATGTATATTCTGTTGATTTGGGGTGGAGAGTTCTGTAGATGTCTATTAGGTCTGCTTGGTGCAGAGCTGAGTTCAGTTCCTGGATATCTTTGTTAACTTTCTGTCTTGTTGATCTGTCTAACGTTGACAGTGGGGTGTTAAAGTCTCCCATTATTAGTGTGTGGGAATGTAAGTCTCTTTGTAGGTCTCTAAGGACTTGCTTTATGAATCTGGGTGCTCCTGTATTGGGTGCATATATATTTAGGATAGTTAGCTCTTCTTGTTGAATTGATCCCTTTACCATTATGTAATGGCCTTCTTCGTCTCTTTTGATCTTTGTTGGTATAAAGTCCGTTTTATCAGAGACTAGGATTGCAACCCCCTGTCTTTTTTTTTTTTCCATTTGCTTGGTAGATCTTCCTCCATCCCTTTATTTTGAGCATATGTGTGTCTCTGCACGTGAGATGGGTTTCCTGAATACAGCACACTGATGGGTCTTGACTCTTTATCCAATTTGCCAGTCTTTGTCTTTTACTTGGAGCATTTAGCCCATTTACATTTAAGGTTAATATTGTTATGTGTGAATTTGATCCTGTCATTATGATGTTAGCTGGTTATTTTCGTCGTTAGTTGATGCAGTTTCTTCCTGGCCTCGATGGTCTTTACAATTTGGCATGTGTCTTTATTTTTTTAAATATAATAAATTGCACTTTAATTATTTCTGCCTGCTTCCTTTCCTTTCTCTTAATATTTCCACTTAACAAGTCAATCAGAAATCAATTTCTCTTATTTCTTTTGTAACATTTCTCAAATCTTTCTCTTACAGTTTGTTTTCTTTGGCTACCAATCAGATCTAGGCCTTTACTTCCTCTTGCTTAGATTATTGCTTTTTTCTCAGAAATAGTTTCTTTCTCACCAACATTGTTCCCATACAGATCATATTCTGAATGGTCACTAGATTAATCTTTGAAATGTGTAGTTTTCATTGTCTTCCTTTGCAAATGCAAATACTCCTGTACACTAATTTATAATAGCAATTTGCTCCTTTATGTAAAGACTCACTTCCTTTTCCTGGTGTACATCGTGCTCCACCATTGTCTGCCATTCTCCATTCCAACCTCATCTTCCCTTTAGTCTTTTCCTGGATTCTATGCTACAGCCAGAATAATTTAGCAGTCATAACATTTCATCTTGTGATCCATTGTCCATCCCTACCCCTCCAATTTTTATTGGCTTAATTTAATTTTATCAAAATGTAAGGTCCAACACAAGTTCTACCTCCTTGAAGAGAAAACTTTGATGAGACTCTCCTGCAATCCTGTAATGCTTTTGCATCACCTCTGAACTTTCATAGCACTAATATGTATACAACTTTCTGGCCATTTGGGGTTGCATGTGTTTGTATGTGTATATATTTATGTTTGTATATTATATACATACACATACATGTACATTTATACAGCACTCTCTCTCACACACACACACACACACACACACACAAACACACATACACACACACAGGGCAGGGGGATACTTAGGTTTGAGGTCAGGGTTCCTGGATTTTCATCCCAGTTTTTGTGGTTTACAAGCTATTTGATCTTGGATGAATTACCTAACCTTCTGGAACTTCAGTTTTTTAGTCTATAAAATGGGATAACAAAGAGTACCTACCTGTATTAGTTTCCTAGGGCTGTCAACAACAAGATACCAAAAACTTGGTGGCTTAAAAAAACGAAAAGTTTTTTTCTCTTGGTTCCAGGTAATAGAAGTCTGAAATCAAGGCTTCAGCAGGCCATGCTCTCTCTGAAGGCTCTGTGAGATGATTCTGCCTTGTCACTGACGGGCTTCATGTTTTTTAGCTTGTAGATGTATCACTCTAATCTATATCTCCGTCTTCACATGGCATTCTCCCTGTGAGTCTGTTTCTGTTTTCTCTCTAAGGACATCAGTCGTAGGATTAGGGCCCATCCTAATCCAGTGTGACCTCATATTCTCTAATTATATCTGCAAAGACCGTATTTCTAAATAAGGTCACATTCTGAGGTTCTTGGTGGGCATGAATTTTTTTGGGAACACTATTAGACTCAATATACTACCTCGGAGTTTTTGAAAAGGATTTAATGAGATAATTCATGTAAAGTGTTTAATGAAGCACTTTGGTAAGTGATAATTGCATACAAGTATTAGATACTGATATCATCATCACTGCTTCTGTTATTTGACAAATTTTCTTGATGTCTTCAAGGGATCTTGTATATGACTTTAAGGGTTTAGCCATTTTGTCAGGCTTGTTCAAAATGTTTTAAAAATCAAAAGCTCAGATATTTTATAATGAGGAAACCATCGTCTATACAAGACAATAGATACCGTGATTTTGGGAACTTCTGTTTTGTCATGAAATAGTTACTTATGTCAAAAATGACTTGCAGAGAGTCTTTCGGAATTCTCTTGCTTGATTTTTAATATTTAATATTTCTTTTTATTTTTAATTATTGTGAATACATAATAGTTGATTAAAAACTAACCAGTTTAACTCCTTTGGAAGCCCTTGACTGAGCACATATAAATATATATGTATATGAGGCATACAGAAAATGCAAAGTTGCAGAAGGGTGACTGGTATACTCTTAGTGTGGATGAGACTAGAAAAAAGGTTAAAGAAAAGGATAAGATACCACTTGAAGGAAAACACTATGTTGTTTAGACATGTGAGTAAGCTTAATTATTCAATTTTTATGCTTTGTCCTTCCATATCCAGGAGAATAACTTTAAAACGGACAAGTATAGAGTAAACAAACATAATTAAGAAAAAATGAAAGCTCAAGACAGATAACTGTGGGCACCTTGATCTTTTAAATGAAGTCACTTCCTCAGATCCAAATAAATACTTTTTGGAGGGATGTTTTATGAAGGTGAAGGTGCAGAGGTGGGAAAATAACCACTTGCTAATTTTAAAGAATTGCAGAATTTGGGAGAGGTGCCACAAAGAAGAAGTCCTTGCAGAATTCCTGGCATAATAAATGATACTTACTCCATCATTTTTAAATGGTTATCAAATTGGCCTTATAAAGTTGATACCCCTTTCAAGAAAATTTAGAAAAGATTATCAACTGACTATGGCATTTACCAAGACTAACTCGGGCCAAAGTTAAGTCATTTCCTTCTTAGAAGTGGAATAATCTAGGTATTTAAATATCAGTAGAGCATTTGACAGAATTTCTTATGATGTTCTCAATAACATGTATAGTACTGTGGGAATGACAAGAGCACATTTTGGTAAATTTATAGCTGGCAGCACAGTTTCATCCAGTGGATTTTAAATACAAATAAAACCCAAGAAGGAAAACAGTAAGTGAGAAAGTGGGCTCACCTTTCACAGTCATCATGATACGGACTTCTGGTCAAGACGGCAATATGAGTTAATGCTGTAATGCATCTTGTGCTTCAAACACATAGTAAACTGTGACAAGAGAAAATAATACAATGCATTACTGGACTAAAACAAAACAAAGCAAAAGTGTTAATTAACAACAACAACAAAAAGAATCTCCATTGATTGAAACAGAAGATGTTACAGGAAAGGGGTCCTGATCTAGACCCCAAGAGAGGGTTCTTGGATCTCATGCAAGAAAGAATTCAGGGCGAGTCTGTAGAGTAAAGTGAAAGCAAGTTTATTAAGAAAGTAACGGAATAAAAGAATGGCTACTCCTCCATAGACAGAGCAGCCCTGAGGGTGGCTGGTTGCACATTTTTATGGTTATTTCTTGATGATATGCTAAACAAGGGATGGATTATTTATGCCTTCCCTTTTTAGACCATATAGGGTAACTTTCTGATGTTGCCATGGCATTTGTAAACTGTCATGGTGCTGGTGGGAATGTAGCAGTGAAGATGACTAGAGGTCATTCTTGTTGCCATCTTAGTTTTGGTGGGTTTTAGCCTGCTTCTTTACTGCAACCTGTTTTATCAGTGAGGTCTTTATGACCTGTATCTTGTTCTGACCTTCTATCTCATCCTATAAGTTAGAATGCCTAACCATCTGGGAATGCAGCCCAGTAGGTCTCAGCCTTATTTTACCCAGCTCCTATTCAAAATGGAATTGCTGTGGTTCACACACCTCTGACAAAGAGGAATAGAATATGATAAATGTAGCTATACCACACATCTTCTGGCTTGGGACCTCAAGCAGAAAGTTGTGGGTTTTTTGGCCCTTGAGAAAGGGGACTAAAAATGCTCCATGGGGATGAGGCCCGGAAGAAGACTCCTTGTTTAAATCCAGGGTCTGTGAGGAGGCTTATCAAAGCAGTCTGGGAGATAGCAAACAAACTAGCAAAAAGACTGCCACTCTATGGGGATTGGATGTGTCTAAGTTAATTCGGGCTGCTATACCAAAATACCATAGACTGGGTGGCTTATAAACAACAGAAATGTATTTATTACAGTTTTGGAGGCTGGAAGTCTGAGATTAGGGTGCCAGAATGGTTGGGCTCTAGTGAGAGCCCTCTTCTGGGTTGCAGACTGCTGACTTCTCCATGTTTCTTCACATAGCAGAAAGAGAGCTCTAATAAAGGGCATGAATAGGATTCATGCCAAGGACCTCACCTCCTGATGCCATCCCATTGAGGTTAGAATTTCAATAAATAAATTTTGGAGAGATGTGAACATTCAGTCCATAACAGGATGTAAGCAAGCAGCTAAACTAGACAAAAGGAAGATCCCACACGGTTTCCCATTTGGCACTAAACTGAGCTGTGTCCTAGTGGCTCACTACCTGTTTGTGCACTTTTAACATCACAATGGGAAGAGCCCCAAAATTTTGTTAGGACCTGAGGGCCCTGGGGGTTTGAAAAGTGATAACTTCAAATCCTTTCAGTGTAGACAGGGAACTCAGAAAAGGATGGAAGGAGAAAATAACATTAAAAAATTCAAAACAAGATATTCAAGATGTGCAAACCCAAATTCCAAAACACATGAGTAAATGTAATGCTCTAAAAGCTCATCAACACTCAGAAGAATTTCATTCCCAAAGATATTCTTCTTACAGAATGGTAGCACAATGGATTTAAAATAAGTTTATTTAGAATACTTCAAGAATATTTTCATTAAAAAGCATGACATTATAAAATAGAAAAACAAAAATCAAGGATGGATGCTTATGTAAAAGGGAACAATGAAAAATGAAAAAACATGACCTTGAAATATTTTTAAATGCAACAAATTAAATAAACTATACATGGTGAGGGAGTTTGCAAACCAGAGGCAAGCTGAGAAATTCACTCAAATGAGCCCACAGAGAGGCAAAGCATACAAGTGAGTAGTTAGAAGACGCAGAAGACAAAGGAGCTTTAGAGGAGGATGGCAAGTGCTTGTGAAATATCAATATTTCAGGCAAAAATCTGCAAATTTCCAGACCAAAATCCATAAGTCCTGAGACTGACAGGATGAATAAAATAAACCTATAACTTGACAGATTATTGTGAAACTAAAGAATGTTAATAACAAAAAGAAACTCTTGAAAGAACCCAGAAAGACAAGATACATTTACTTCAAATGAATGCCACTTAGATAGACAGCTGACTTCTTCTCAACACCAGTAGTTACTAGAAAAAGCAGAGCAGTGGCTTCAAAGTGCTGCAGTAAGTTGGAGTTCAACCTAGAATTTTATTTTCAGCTATACTATCATTTAGGAATTACTTTCAGATCTATAACAATTGAGAGTTCAAACTTCTATTAAAACTACTTTAGGAGAAAAATGTCATTAGCTCAACAATTAATACATAAAATGTATATTGATTATAACATAACCTTTCAAAAAATAAGGGTAAAATACTGGAAAGGAATTAAAGGAGAAAAGAGAATAACTTCACTGAGTAGTTAAACTGTTCTTGGATCTGTGACATGTTTAGGATGAGGTGAACATTTAGAATCATCTTTGCTTTGTTATCACAATTTGTACTTAAGTATGAGTGCTAAAAGTTTGAGGACAATTACTACCTCACACCTATTAGTATGGCTACTATTAAAAAAATGCTGGTGAGGATTTGGAGAAATTGGAACTCTTTTATACTGTCATTGGGAAGGTAAAACGGTGCATGCACCTGCTATGGAAAACAGTATGGTGGTTCCTTAAATAATTACATAAAATGACTATATGATGCAGCAATTTCACTTCTGGGTGTATACCTCCAGGAATCAACAGCAGAGTCGCAAGGTATTTGTATGCCTATATTCATAGCAGTATAATTTACAATAGCTAAAAGGTGGAAACAACCCAAGTGTCCATCAACAGATGAATGGATAAGCAAAATGTGAGATGTACATAACAATGGAACGTTGTTCAGCCTTTAAAAGGAAGAAAATTCAGACACATGCTGCAAATGGATGAACCAACCTTGAGGAGATAATGCTAAGTCAAATAAACCAGTCACAAAAAGGCAATACTGTATGATTCCACTTATATAAGGTACCTACAGTAATCAAATTTATAAAGACAGAAAATAGAATGCTAGTTGACAGGGGCTAAGGTGAGGTGAATAGAAAGTTATTGTTTAATGGCCATAGAGATTCAGTTTTGCAAGATGAAAAGAATTCTAGAAATGGGTGGTGGTGGTTGTATAATAATATGAATGTACTTAATATCACTGAATTGTACACCTAAAAATAGTTCAGGTTGATAAAGTTTATGTTATATGTACTTTACCACAATACAAATTTGAAAAAAAACAGATAATTACTGAAAGAATAGATATATAATCCGTAGCATGCTACCAACAAAGGGATAATATGATGCATTTATGAATTCCAGTAGAGGAAATAAAAAGGGCAAATAAAAGCAAGCAAAAAGAAAGGTTGATAAACAGAAGATAAATTAGGATGTTATTACATAAGTCAGTGAGGCAAATATCAGCCCATTAAAATACAGAGATTATCAGATATGATTTCAAAATATCCTACTGTACAATACTAACAAAAGAAAGACCTAAAACAAAACCACACAGAAAGATTGAACCTAAAGGAATCGGGGGGAAAGAATAGATCAAGAAGTACAAGTTAAAATAAAGCTATTGTGTCAAAACTAATATCAGACAAAATAAAATTTAAGGCAAAAATCATGTACAGGAATAAAAAAGGATGCTGCATCTTAATAAAAACATTTACCAAGAATATAAAACAATTGTTTTTCAACAATTATTTATTTAATGTCTATTGGATGCTGAGTATCACTCTGAACACTGGGGAGGAAAAGTGAACAAAGAGCCAAAAATTCCTGCCCTCATGGACAGAAGTGCAAGGTAAATTTGAAAAATCAACAATCAGAGTGGGATAATTTAATATGCTTCTGTGAAATTCGGAGGCAAACCATTAAAAAAATTAAAAGGATTGAGAATGTTTGAACAAGAAAACACAAGCTTAATCTAAAATATATTTAAACTTCTGTAACCCATATAAAGAGAATATGTATTCTTTCCATGTGTCTGCAGAACAAAGAGCTAAATAACTGGAAATAAATCCAAGAAAACTATTCAAGGTTTTCATTGAAACAAATATGAAATGTTATTGAAGGTTTTACAGTATGATTAAGTGGAATACAAAGGTGTAACATTGTCCTGTACAGGGTCACATAATGTGAATTTTCACTTAATTAACCTATAAATTTAATGTGATTTCTGTCTAAACCTCAGCAGGAATTTTGCTGGACAAACCAATCCTGAAATGTGCATTGAAGAGCAAAAAGCCAAGTATGATTAAGGCAATTTTGAAGGAGAGGAACATGATGAGGGTTCTTTCCTACCAGACGTCAAAGCCAATTATAAAATAAAGCAATTATACAGTGTGTAAAAAGTGTGGTTTTATTTCAAGAATTAAATAGAATAATGGAACATAATAGAGAGTCCTCAAATGAATCACTAAAATATGAAAATACAACAAATGACAGGGGTAACATTATAAATCAACAGAAAAAGACTGAATTATTTAATAAATGATACAGGGACAAAGCTTAGCTTTTTGGATAAAAAAATAATATATGGTTTCTATCCCATATACACAAGGCTATGTCCCAAGAAGATTAAAAACATAAAAGTGAAAACCATAATTTTATGTTTTAGAAGAAAGCAAAGATAATTTTTTTGAACCCACAGCAGGGAAAAATTTTTTATGCTAGACACAGTAGGAACAAACAATAAAGGATAATATTCATACATTCAACTACATTAGCACTAAAAATGTCTGCGTGACTATGAATAAAGTAATAAGACAAAATTTGGGGAGGTTTTAATGATTTGTGTCAGAATATACAAAGTAAAAATTTAAAAAGTGACAAAGACTAGAAACTCAAGAGGGAAAAAAAAGACAAATCATATAAACAGGCAGATCACAGACAAACAGCATTGAAATGCCAAGGACCGTAAGCAAAGGCACTCAGCCTTGTTGGTAATTAGGGAAATGAAAATAAAACCACAATGAAATATAATTCCCACTAGATTGCCACAAAGTCTAAAGTACTATACTAAGTGTTGTCAAGAAAGTGAAGCAATGGGGGCCTAATATACACCACTGGAATGTATATAAATTGATTCAATCCCTTTGGTGTGCTAATTGTTGAAGATGCCACTTTCCTACAGCCAAGTAACTTCACGTCTTGGTTTATACTGTGGAGAAACTTTCCTATGTGTCCCAAGTATACGGTTCTCATTGCAGCATGCTTTTGGTTGTTGTTGTTATTCAGTGGTTAAAATGAATTAACTGGAGACATATGTATCAACCCAGACACACTTTGGAAGTTAAGGAGGGTAAAGCAAGTTGCAGAGAGTGAGGTATATATATATATATTATATATTATATATACATATTATATATTATATATAATATGTATGTATATACCATGTGTATGGAGAAGAAGAAAATCATGTATAGGAAATTTAAAAGCTATTAACTATTACTCTGTTGTTTATGGGTGTAAACATATGTATGAGTAAAATTATAACATGCAGAGAAATGATTCAGAGTAAACTAAATATGGTCGTTACTTCTGGGGAGAGAGGGAAGGAGATAGGATTTGGGAAGGTCACACAAAGTGATTCAACAGTATTTGTGAAGATTTTCCTTGTTGTTTTGCCCTGATGTGCTTTGTTTTAATATTTAAAGTAAACACAGAAAACACGAAAATTATTAATGTTTGTTGGTGCATGAATATTTATTTTTATTATTTTAGGCTTTTTTGTATGTTTAAAATATTTCACAATGAAAATATATTGTAAATTTATAACATGGACCTAAAATACAATGGGGGACAAAGCAGTTTCACACTAAATTTCACAAGTAGACCCAAGAGACTAGATGATATAAGAATTTATGTAAAAAAGTGTCATGGAATTTAGCTAACTACAAAAGTCTTGAGACCAAAACTTAAATAAATGCAGTCAACTCAGTTGAAGGTAGATTTGGGAGTCAAAAAAGAAAGAATGCACTTGTCCAAATTGAATGGGCTAATGGCAGGAAGTGACTTCCTTGTTGTTGGAGGTGTTCAGAC
Source organism: Homo sapiens (assembly GCF_000001405.40). Classification (NCBI taxonomy): domain Eukaryota; kingdom Metazoa; phylum Chordata; class Mammalia; order Primates; family Hominidae; genus Homo; species Homo sapiens. Next base: position 53,153,910 of record NC_000002.12, on the reverse strand, counting down.
AGACCCAGTAGACCACAGTCAGTTTGGGGGAGGTAGAGTGTTACTGTGAGAGTAAGAATGGATGAGATGAGTACCAAGGGCTTTTCCAATAATTGCTAATAAAAACTATCAAATTTATTTTTGTTCATTAAACAGGTGCTTCTTACAGTGTTTTAAGGTCATCTGTGTCCACGTGAAGAGTCATTATCCTGTGAGTGTGCAAAAGTCACAGGATATCTTTCTATTTTAGGTGAGCTCAAATTTGGATCAGGCTTTGTAGCCACCAAAATCTGTTCTTTCCTTTTTGAGCAGGCTTTTGGTTTAAAAAAATATCCAGTAGAATCATTACTATTTATTCAATAACATTTAACAAGCTCTTACTTAATGCTGTGCTTTATATTACTATTCTGCTACTCTCCAAGCATTGTCTAAGTCATCTTCTTAGACAAGAAATAGTGTTTAAAAAGTCATACATATTCAGTTGTAATGAATTAATACTATTCTCCAATCACGGAAGTCAAATTATTTAATAATATTTTAAATATCAGCCATATCAATATTATGGCACTATTTTATAGATAGAAGTATAAAACCTAAACTTGCTTGTAACATAACCTGCAATTTATTTTCCTATTTGTGCTAGCATTGGAGAAGCTGACCTTGGCCTGAATCTTTAGAGATTACTTGAAAGGAGTGTTCATCTTAAAGCAAGAAATAAAGGCATGGTCTGCTAAGGTCACCCTAAAAATCCATAAAAAATGTATTAAAGATGAGTTAGTAGTAGGCATATGGTAAATATAAGTATCCAAATAGAAAATAGAATATTGTGGTGCAGCAAGAAGCATAGGTGTGTAGACAGGAAAAATCAATGGAAGTAACTCAAAAAGGCAATAAATCTCTCTTAAGGAATATTGTCATGTTTTCTGAACCTGCATCTATAGCCTACATTAAGCTTTTTATCTGATAGTGAAAAGTTCTTTCCACTTTCATATCTAGTAACAAACTAAGAGTTTTTTTCTTCAGTTGAATGGTGGGATGAAGAATTCTAAAAAAAAAAAAAAAAAAAAAAAAAAAGGCATCTACTGAAGTCTTGTGTAATTATCCTGATACTGTCTTTGCTGCAGCACAATCAAGAAACTATATAATTGCTTTCTAGCTTTTATGAGAATTGATATAATGATGTGACCCAACTGGTTATTTCTCCTTTAAGTTCCATGTTTCAGAAGAAATGTCTACTCTACAGCTAATATCCCTAGATCAGAGATGTTTAATTAGGTAGGTATTCGCTTGAAGCAAAGCCTGTTTGAATCAAAACATGTAACAATGGCAGTAAGGTCAAGTTTTGAGAGTGATGTGTATGTCATATATACTAAGCAGTGACCTTTCCATAAAAAAACAAGTAATTTCTGCAGTGTTTGAGAATTTAGTCATTACACTCAAAAGGTCCAAAAAGAGACCTACTCATTTTGCTTGATGGCATTGGTGGACGTTTTTTGTTCCAGCCAGGAATTGAGAACCCAGTTTCTACTGGAAACCATTTCAGAATTTGTGTCTAAATGAGAAGTTAGAATCTTCATGAGCGTGCTGTCCATATTTTTTGGACATTAAGCACTACATTTGTTGTTGTTGTTGTTAGAGGACATTATGTTTGTTAAGTGAAATAAGCCAGACACAGACAAATACTGCATGTTCTCATTCTTAGGTGGAATCTAAAAATGTTGCTCTTATAGAAGTAGTGAATGGAACAGGTTAATGAAAACTAGGGAAGGGAATAGGAGGGTGGAGAGAGGTTTGTCAATGGGTACAAATTTACAATCAGGAAGGAAGAATAAGTTCTGGTGTCCTATTGCATAGTAGGGTGACAATAGCAAAAAATAAGGTAGTGTATATCTCAAAATAGGTAGAAGAAAGGATTTTCAGTGTTCCCACCACAAAGAAGGGATAAATGTTTGAGGTGACACATATGCTAATTATCCTGATTTGATCAATACACATTATATGCATGTATCAAAATATCACGTTGTACCCCATAAATATGTATAATTATTATTTGTCAATTAAAAATAAAAATAATAAAAGAACTCACCACTTTAGAGACATACTTAAGATTTAAAATTTCCAATGACTCTAAGGTGTTTCTAAATTACTTTGGATCATATAAACTTGGTGGCTTTGAAAGTAATGGAGTGAAACATCCAAATAGTTCCACGAAATTGGCAGTGCTTCAGAAAGAAGAATGGAAATGTCCCTGTGGAAAAGACACTGCTTAGACAATTGCAATACAGTGGATTATGACGGGACAATGCATATGTTTTCCTTATGTATCAAGGCCGAAGAGAGCACGTGTTTTGTGTTTGTTTTGTTTGTTTTTTTTTGCTATAAACCAAACTTGCAGTGCATATTGGCAACTCTTAATTACGTAGATCTAACTAGATTAATGATGCTGCTAGTTTCCTAGTTTAAAAATAACCTACCTATTTTTCCTTCAATATTATTGTGAATTCAAGATGCATCAGCCTTACATGTTATGCATTGTTTTGGCAAATGTAGCTATCATCCTTAACTGAGACTTGACATTGAAATGTAACAACTTCTACATTCTATTGAATGTAGACATTATTCTAGAGAAGCAATTGTTATTAAAAGGAACTTTCTATTCTGCCAGTTTATGACAAAATTGATCAAAGTTATATGATTTTATGTTTTAGGATGTAATTTTCAAGAGACCTTTTTATAGTTGATCTTAATATCCTTAAAGGAAGATAGATTTTTGGGTTATCTTATGATTTTTAATACATCCTTCATGACTTCCTTTTTAGAGAGAAAAATTGCCAATTTTTGGGGCCTTCATATTTAGGGGAAAAACAAAATACATACTTTGTTTCAATTCTTCAACAGTCCAGGGAAGTAAAATAAATGATAGAGTGGTCTGGAATTGAATTTCTAGCACCAAAATTGAATTCTATAGAAATTTAATGTCTTCCACCAGAGGACAGGCAGATTCCACCTTAGTATATAAAGTGCTTCATTTGTGTGTTTTTAAAACAATTTTTTTTTTCCACTGTAGGAGGAGGGAGGTTCAGGGGTGACAGCAAGGGATAGATCTGATTTGACTTTATTCCCAGCAGGCAAAGAGTGGAATTCTCTGCCTTGGTAAAACTTTTTTTAGGGAAGACTGGGAAGGCGCTTGACTGGTTCTGTAGTAGCTTAATATTATAGAAGTCAACCTGGAACAGATTAGTAATTTTTGTCCTTACTGGTATTTTTTTTTTGGAATTACATTTCTGTGTGTGCATACTAATAGACTTTACTATTCCCTTTGTTGGATATGGAAAGAGGAATTAACTCTATGAAAGCTTTTCTTCCTCTTTGCTTTAAAGAGAAAATCTGTCCCTCCCTCTCTCCCCACCCACACCCTTACACACACACACTCACACTCTCTCTCTCTCTCACTACTACAACTACTACAACAATTACTACTACAGGAGTGCTTATAATGAAAATACAGTTTCCTGCTCATGCCTCTTCATCTCTACTCCCATAGCTCCATAGTCAATAGTTTCTGGCTATTTCTGGTTTCTTCTGGTGGTTACTTTCACCTGGTTAATAAATGTTTATGTGGCTGTTTCTGGGTTGAGACATTAAGCTTCCTACTCTACTTTGCTAAAGATTTAGCTTAACCATACATATCCTCTTTTACCCCCTCTCCTTTTTCCTCCTGGTGTAGTTATAAAATGTATTAGTTTCTCTATTGGTTACTTTTCTACCTTCAATGCTATAATTAAACCTCTATATCTTGTTTCACCAACTACAGAAAATATTTCTCATCCTATGTGTGTTGATTTTCTATAATAATAGGTGGCTTATTACCTGAAGTCTAAAGGGAAGATTCAAAACCAATTTATTTCACAACTTCTCTACTAATGTCTATGTAATATGTCAGCCTTTTAAATGCACTGATTTTCAGATGGTGCTCTGTGGATTACTAGGAATGTCTTCAGGAGTTTCACAAAAAAATAAACATTTTTTCCCTTAATTCATCTCATCATTCTGAAGCAGCTCTGTTGTCTGGGGTGTATATCCGGGGTTCGTCGTCTCGCGCCAGGAAAATTTAGGACATGGACACACACAAGGAGTTTAGGAGCTGAGGTTTAATAAGCAGAAGAAAGAGAAAGAAAAACAGCTCTCTCTTTATTGAGAGAGAGGGGACTTTGGAGAGGAAAGACCAACTGGTGGTGGAGGCCCCGGATTTTATAGTCCAGCTAGAGGAGGCAGTGTCTGATTTACATTGGGCTCACAGATTGGTTTGATCAGGTGTGATGTTTACATAGTCTGCAGGGAAGGCTGGTAGCGCCACCCTAATCTTACTATGCAAATGAACTCTCCCTTTGGCAGGCCTCATCTTGTCTGCTCCTTACTGTACACGTGGCAGACAGAGAAGGGAAGATAGAGCCGCCATTTTGAATATGATTGGCACAACTGCTGGCATCTATGTCTGCAGCTCAATTTTACAGGCTGCTCTTTGTTAGAAAGGAAAATGATTTGGGGCTGCTTTTCATTACAAGGAAAACCTTACTGAGGACTTCCATACCCTCACTATCTGCCTAAGTAATTTCTTTTTAACTCTTGTATCAATTCGTTTTTTTTTTTCTCTCTCATACATTGGATTTTTATTTAAAAATGAGATTGGTTTCTAGGGATTTGGGTTCCAGTCCAGCTCTTCCAGTAACTTGCTTTGTTACTTTGAGTAGGTCATTTGTGCTCTGTGGACATTAATTTCAGCAATGGCAGCAGTAGCAGCAGCAAATTACAAGAAGACAGGATTTTGTTTCCCAGGGCAACCATAATAGAGTACTACAGTTTGGGTGGCTTAAACAATATAAATCTATTTTCTCATATTTCTTGCAGCTAGTAGTGTTGGTTATCAAGGTGTTAGCAGGGCTGGTTTCTTCTGAGGGCTCTCTCCTTGGCTTGCAGATGGTCATCTTCCCTGTATCTTCACATGGTCTTCCTTCTGTATACATATGTATCCTAATCTCCTCTTCTTATAGGGACAAGAGTCGTATTGGATTAGGGCCTACTCTAATGACCTTATTTTAACTTCATTACCTATTTAAAGATCCTATCTCCAAATAGAGTCACATTCTGAGGTAATGGGGGTTAAGACTTCAACATTTAAGTCTTGGGGAAGGATGGGACAATTCAGCCCATGAGAAAATTGGTAATGTCAGCTTACATTGAGCTAAAAAATTCAGTGAATACTGCTAACCAAGAAACAGGGACTTGTTCACATTTGTTTAATATTTATATGTTACTTCTCTTGAGTTGCATTTCTTTAAGCTAGAACTGATCACGAGAAGTCAAGCATTCTTATACTACAGAACTCAGAATGACCACAGCATTTTGAAAGGTGTCCATAGATGCTTGAGAATGAACTGTTCGAATTGTGTGTGTTTGTGTAATATTAAGCTGGATTTTCAATATTCTACATTTGCCAAAATTGGCTTATAATGAGGTGTCTTAGGTTAAAGTTCCAGTGATTGAACAAGTCATTGCTTTTTCCAAGTCTCAGATTTAGAGTAACACTTATTGCTGGTTGGTTGTGAGAATCCAATGAGGTAATATATGTTAAAGTACTTTAACAAATGTAAAGTGTTTCGTAAATTAAATGTTGTCTTTAATAACAGTAGGAAAATATTTTGTCTTGGAAACATAAATTCTACCTTTTGTGTTAAGTACATATCAGAGCGCCTTGAACAAAAAACTTACGGATCATCTAACTTCGTACATTTGTTTTCATATGTGGAAATTAAAGCTAAGAAATTTTAAGAGACATGCTCCTAATCATCTGGAAGAATTGCGTTGGAATTGCTGACTATAGTGAACTTTCCAATAAAGAATTAAACAACTTCTTACATAGGATTTTTGAATTTCATAAAAATTCACAGTAATCAATAATGGGAATGCATTTATACATTCATTTGCATAAATATACTTTTCACTTTATGTCACTTCTATGATGATTATATTTCTCTCTTTGAAGATATTTAGTTCTGATCACCAAATGAACTGTGTTGAACTACATGGGCCAATTATATTTTTATCTTGTGTTTTATTTCTAGATCTATCTTCTGTCTTTGTTTAGGAATTTTTCAATGTAATAATTCTGTCACATCAGGATTTTGAAAATGCAGAAAAGCAAAATAGTTCATAATTTTTTTGGATTACATGTGGGCTTATATTGCATATTATACCTTTAATTAAACTGGAAATTAACTTCTGATTTTTTTATTATATGTCAATTTGATTTTAAGCTCCTCATCTTGCATTCAGATGTATTCTGAAATGAAAAATTATGAGCCAGTGACCTGGTCCAACTCTTTCCCCATGATTTATCTCTTTGGGGCTCCCGTGTTTATTTTGAAATAATAGAATGGATGGGAGGAAAGGTCTGTTTTCAACTGAAGGTGGCAGGAATAAAGACTCAGTCTTTGAAGTTATTTTTTTTTTGTTTTTAAGATTAATTTTTGGCCTTGTAGATAAAGATAATATGATGTGGAAGAAAATCACTGGTTTTTCACTGTCTCCTATTTATCTATTGGGCATTTCTGCCTCTAACTCTTTGTCTGGCTAGGATGTTCACTGTTAATTGCAAATCTTCATTCATGGATAGCAAAAAAGGCCTTATCTAATATTGGATGGTACAATCAAAAGATGAACAAGGAACATTTGAAAACCCACTCCTTGTTTGTCCAGTGTGAAATAAAGCCTTGGAATCAACAGCTGGGAGGGGCAATAGGCTATAATTTCTCACTAAGTGTAATGCGTAAATATAAACAAGTGATTAAAGACTAACTATGTATACCTCACCAGATATAGACCTTGAGTATAGTTGCAAATTATACTTTGTCCTAGCTATAGAAAGGCAACTTTTAACATCTGAAAACTATAGAACTAATTACTTTCCGGTTACACTCTGGAAATATAACACCAGCTCTTTATTTAATAGATTTTTAGGCAGAGATGTCTTGGTATAACTGTATACTCAGTGTGAAGAAGAGGGCAGGTAGATGTAGTATATCTTTTCTGTTCTTTTCATTTTCAACTTCTTGTGTATTTATTTTAAAAATCTTGTTTTGCATCTTGCTTTTTATAAAAAAAATACTGTTTTCATCTGATAATGTTAAGTGGGATGTTTAGTTTCTTAACATTTAATATAATGCATTTGTCTTTAATGCCACCATCTTCCTATTTATTTTTTATTTGTCCTAAGGATTCTTGTTCTTTTCTTCCTTCTTTCTTTACAGTTAAATAAATAATTCTGAGAGCTGATTTTATCTATATGCCTTTTAACTATAGTCTTTATAATGTTAAGCGGTCACTCTAGTGTAACAGTATCACACATAAGTTGTCACAATTGACTTTGAATACTGTAACACTTTATGTATACTATAGTACCCTGAAAACACTATAATTCCATCCTTCCAATCACATCACTTGTGCTATTATTATATATTTTACCTCTACATGTTAATATGTAAAAATACAGTGTTTCTATTTTTGCTTTACACAATTCTCTTTCAATAAATAAATAAAAAAGTCTTCTTTATATTTTCTAATGTATTCATCATTCATAGTGTTCATCATTATTTTTTGTGTACCCTTGTTACCATCTTGTATTATTTCTGTTTAGTCTGAAGTACATCCTTTAGGTTTCCTTATGCTCTGGATATATTGGGTATGTCCTGATAACAAAGTCTAACAAAGCTTTTCTTTATATGAAAATGGCTTTGTTTTGCTTTCATTTTTGAAAAAAAAATTGTTGTGTATGTTATTTTAGGTTGACAGCTCTTTTTTCTGCCAGCAATTTAAAGATACTATTCCATGATCATCTGGCTTCAATTATTTCAGATGAGAAATCAATCAAAAAGTATTTTTCCCCTGATTATAATGTTTCTTTTTTCTCAGTCTACTTTAAAAAATTATCTCTTGTTTTCAGAGTTGCCTATTATATGCTTAGGTAAGATTAATTCTTGTTTCATTGCTCAGTACTATGAGTGATATTTATTGTATGGATGTACCACAGTTGTTTGTCCATCTTCTGTTGTTGAACATTTGACTTGTTTCTAGTTTTTGAATATTATAAATAAAGCACCTATGAACATTCTTGTACAAATCTTTTTGTGGACATATATTTTCATTTGTCTTGAGAAAAGCCCTATGAGTGAAATTGTTAGGTCATAGCATAAGTGCATGTTAAATGTTACAAGAAACTGCCAAGTGTCTATAACATTTTATATTCGGGCCATTATTCAGTCCTCTTACTACTTATATATTTAAAACCCTCTGATGACTTCATATCTCACTCAGAGTAAAAGGCAAAGTTATTGCAATGGATTACAAGTTCTTATACAATATGCCCTCTGCTCATGTTTCTTCTTTGACCTCATGACTATCAAATTTTCCTTTTGTCTCCCTCTGTTCCAGACACATTAGCTTCCTTTGATTTTGGAAAATACAAGTCTTGCTCCACTCAAGGCAATAAACTTAATGAAGCACTTTTGCTACAAATTCTAAGCTCCCTCCCTCACTTTAGGGCTTTGATCAAATGTTTTGTTCTTGAGGCTTTTCCTGATATTGTAATTAAAACTGCACGCCTTCCTAGCATTCTTTCCCACTTCCCACAATGTCATTCTTTCCCATCTCTTACGTTTTCTTTGTTATGACATATCACTTATCAGTAAGAAATATTTTGTTTATTAGTTTGCTTGTTGTCAATCTTCAGCTGTTAAAATGTAAGTTCTGGGAGGGCAGGAATTTTTGTTTATTTTGTTTACTTTTTTATCCATAGCCATAGTAAATAATAAGTATTTGTTGAATAAATGATTAAATGTCTTATGGTTTCCATTCTTGTTGTTGAGAAATCTGTCAGTTTGGTTGTTTTTATTTCATGGATAAAAATACTTTCTCTCTTACTAATTTAAAAATATTTTCATAGAGTTTCCGTAGTTTCATGGCAACATATCTACATGCACATTTACTTTTATGTATTCTGCCTAGTATAGATTATACTTTCTTACCTTTGGATTCATTTCTTTCATTATTTCTGGAAAATTTATAGCCAATATTGCTTTAAATGTAGCTTCTCTTCTGTTCTAGCTCTCCTCTCTTTTGGAACTCTGAGTATCCTCTTTCCCTTTATTAATTTTCTTCATAGCACCCATAATCATCTGACCCACAACCTACTTCCTACCTGCTTTGTATTTTTTTTTCTCTACTTCATTCCCTCAGGGTCTAGAAAGTGCCTAATACATAAGAGACACTTACTGAATGTTCTTTGAATGTTTATAGGACAGATGAATTAATAAACATTAGCTCCTCTCTATCTTCCATATTGTCTTATATCTCTTTCAAATTTTTTATCTGCTTTTCTCTCTGTGCTGCTTTTGGAGTAATGTCTTTGGTGAATTCATGAATTTTCTTTCAGTTTTGCCTATTCTGAGATTTAATCTATCCATTAAATATTTGTATTTCAATAATACATTTTGTTTCATTTCTAGAATGTCTTATTTAGTTGTTGTTTCAGGTTTTTCTAACCACTTTTGATAGTATCTTGTTGCTTGCTCACTTAAAAAATGCAATTATTTTATCTTTAAATATCTCATACATAGATATTTTATAATTTCTACCCAAAAATTATAACACCTCAAGTTCTTGGATACCTATGACTGTTGCCTGTACTTCTGTTGATTCACACTTACGTTGGTTTGTGTTATTGCATGTTGGGTGATTTTTATTGTGAATAGCTATAATAGTCGTGTGAATGTAATAGTCATGTGAATATTTGTGAATAGCTATAATAGTTATGATACCTAAGTTATATATGTATGATATCTAAGTTATATATATAGTTATGATATTTAAGTTATATATATATATATATATATCCTATAACTCTGTATTGTGGAAGCTTTCCTCAGAGAGGATTTACAGTTGTTTCAGCTTGACAGCAGGGAATGTTACAAATCTTTAGCCCTCTTCCAGGGTTCCTGGCTTAATCCATGAATCTTGCATTTAGTGCTCCCTTTTTCCTTCTATACCAACGCTCAGTGTTTTCATTGCAGTACTGATAGTGGCACTTGTCTTTCAAGCAATTTAGGCTGTCACATTTTCTTACCACTTTTTGCTCTGGTTTTATTCTCTTTTTTTGCCTTTGCCTTTGCCTCCTTGATATATCCTTTTATCTCCTCCAAGCCTAATAATGCAAAAAGCTTTGTGGATTAGTATGTTTATGTCAGTATCTATCTGTATCTATATTTACATCTATGTGTATTTGTATCTTTTTTCTCCTATGAACTTTCTTCTATCTAGAAAAAATGGCTTCATGTGTTTTTTTTTCTACTTTTCACTTAGAAAAACAAAATATTGTTAAAATAATAAATATGGAAGTATCAACTTTGCAAGTCTGTCAGTTATTTGCATCATTAATAGTTAATACCCATGGCTTTATTATATTAGGCCATAATATCCATTTATATATCCACAGAATATTCTTTAACTGGTAAATCAGAATTGATTTTTTTGTTAAACTACTTTTCAGGGAAATGTTTTAAATATTTAAACAATGATTATCATCATTTCCTCTTGAAAACCACTCAGGATTTACTATTTGGTTTCTCGTTACTTGTTAGTATAGAAACATGATTCTGTAACTTGATGACAGTAGCCTTGGCTAGGTATTTTCTTCAGATATTTTAATTTTACTGTTATTCAAAAATGTATCCTAAATTAACAACACTCAACAACCTGGTGCAAATTCTAGACTTTGGAAAAACTTTGTGATAAATTCTTGTAAAGCAAGAGTAGGTGTTAACGATGCAGGATATTTCCCTGACCCCTTCATGGGACTCATGACAGCACACAGGTGAGTGCCTGCAGGAGCCAGGATGAGTGCTTCTGGATACAGCCAAGAGCAGAACTCTCTGTGGCTCCACGGCAGTGTCTAAGCGGTACCAGCGACCTCTTGAGCCCTAGACATTGTATGTTACAGTGGTCTTTTCGTGTTGCTGTCTGTGAATGGCTTAAGTGCTAAACAGCTCAAACATCTGCACCTGTGACTCCCAAGCTCTTGTTTGGCACCTAGAAAGAATCAGGTCATAGGAATGAATTTAAGGGTGGTGAATATGGAGGATTTTATTGCCAATGAAAGTAGCTTTCTGCTGGAAGCGGAGCTGTAAAAGGAATGGAGTGGGAAGGTGATCTTCCCCTGTAGTCTGGCCATCCCCAGCCAGGCTCTTCTCCAAAGTCCTACCATCCAGCCATCCCACTGAAGTCAAGCTGCTTCTCTCTGATGTCTGGCTGCTTCTTTTCTTCTCTTCTTCTCTGCTGCTCCTCTGCCAGTGGAGCCTGGGATTTCCATGGGTTCAGGATGGGGGGCCAGTTGGGCCAGGGTGGTTTTGGAAAAGGCAACATTGGATTGGGAAAACGAGGATGTAAAGTTCTCACTTTGGGCCACAGTTCCAGACTCGAGGGTGGAGCCCTCCCGTGAACTGCCCTCATCTACCCAGTATTTCTCTGCCTCCTGTCCGTATCATTAAGACCTATAGAACAAGTCAATGCATTTTTTTTATGAAGAAGAGTGTCTCAGTTGGAAATACAGGCTTTCATAGTTGCTGCTGGTGTAACAGTCTCAGGTATTATGGCAGTTTCACAAAAGGCATTTGTATAGTTTGGTAAAATCAGTTTTAGTTGGTTTGATCTCTCTTCCATCATCTAAGAAATTCACTGACATTTAATTTTATTTTTATTAAATAAGAGTTAACAATTATTTAAGATACAGTAGTATGTATCTTTAGAAATAATTTAAGCTTTACTCATAAAAACTTTGCACTTAAGAGTTCTTTCTGCTAGAATTCAAATCTTTCTTTTTTTCTATATTATACTTGCAGAACAAGATGTTTAGCAGTGACAAGTTTAGAGATGGGACAGGGTAGAAGAGCAGAAAGGAGGGGACTGCAAAATATCACACTGAGGAAAGAAGAGGCTGCATTCTGAAACATCTGGTTAAAAGTAAAAAACAAAAACAAAAACAAAAACATTTGGGGACTCCATCCAGTCCTCTCCATTCTCAAAATCATCCAGTTAAAATGGGAAAATGAATGACAGAATATTTCTCTATTTTTAGACAAATAGGCTATGTGTTTAAGTGAACATCTTAATATTTATTTAAATCTGTTGAATTATGCTGTCATCAAAACCTGTGTCTTTCAAGTGACACATTTTTTTTCTTTTACTTGTATTTACTTTTAAATTATGGACATTTTATTTTCTGGCTTACTACTTTCATTCCCCAATGTAATACCTAATTTCATCCCTCAGCATACAATGTAAAATCACAGATTTTGCCTTTGTTTATGGCTGCTATTGGTATTATCTAGGAGGAACAAGTTTTGAATCTTATTTCTGTTGTTTGTGCATGAGGAGCAAATCCCCCAAAAAACTAATCAAGAGGATGAGAAAAGAAATGTAGATTATGTTCATTGAAGTAGTCAGTGATTAAAAGCATCTATTCTCTTTCTACAACTCAAAAGTTAATAATACTTTTAGGTTGTAGAAGATGTAAAACAAATTGGAGGAGGGCTGGGACTTTAGCCTACTGTAAGGAAACTCTTTTCTCTCTTGAATTCCGATAGCAGAGCCATTGTTTATATAAAAGCAACTGAAATTCTCAGTTCATGGTTCCAAATCTCTAATTGCAATCCATTTCTGAACTCTTGAAAACTGTAATACTGTCTTCCTCTATTCATTGTTACTTTTCCCTTCCTTTCCCTCCATGTATCTTCATTTTTTTTTTTTCCAGTGCAGCCAGTGACTTGGAGGTTATGGTCAAAGGCAGAGAAATAGCAGAGAATGGAATGGAGAAACTCTTTCAGATTCTTTTTCCTTCTTAAGCCTAAATTTGAATTCAATTCTCGGGGGGCCTCTGGTAAAAATTGGGTCAGTAATGACTTAAAAGCTATTTATTGGGATCGTCCCTGAAATAAGGGAACGTTACAAAAATACAATGAAGCTGAGAACAAGAGGGGAAGTGGACTTTCCAGAAGTTGGGAGATTTGCCTCATACTCTTAAATTGTATTGAGAAAATGCATTTTGTTTTCCCTCATTATATAAGAAAAGCACTACCAAAGAAATTATACATTATAAGCCTCAGCTTCCAGGGCATATTTTCTTGCAGATAGTATTTCTATAGTATTTTAAGCATTAAAGCTGCATGTAAGTATCTAGCAACTAAAGGATCATTTTCTTCTTTTTTTTTTTTTGGAGATAGAATCTTTCTCTGTTGCCCAGGCTGGAGTGCAGTAGTGGCATGATATCGGCTCACTGCAGCCTCTGCCTCTCAGGTTCAAGTGATTTCTGGCTAATTTTTATATTATATTTATATATATATATATTTTATATATATTATAATTTATATTTTTAGTAGGGATAGGGTTTCAGCATGTTGGCCAGGCCGGTCTTGAACCCCTGACCTCAAGGGATCTGCCCACCTCGGCCTCCTGAAGTTCTAGGATTATAGGGGTGAGCCACCATGCCTAGCCAAAAAGATCATTTTCTTTGGAGTAAGAACTGGGTTCAAATTCTAGCTCAGTGACCCCAGAAGCACAGACAATAAAAGCAAAAGTAAACAAATGGAATTGTATCAAGCTAAAAACCTTCTGCATAGCAAATAACACAATCAGGAGAGTAAAGAGACAGCCCACTGATTGAGAGAAAATATTTGCAAACCATACATCTGATAAGGGGTTCAAATCTAAAATATATAAGGAATGCAAACAACCCAATAGCAAGAAATAACCCAATCAAAAATGGGTAATGGACACTTCTCAAAAGAAGGCATAAAAATGACCAACAGATATATTAAAAAATGCTCATCAACATTGATCATCAGGGAAATGCAAATTAAAACCCCAATGACATATCACCTCGTACCTGTTAGAAGGGGTTTATCAAAAAGACAAAAAATAACAAGTACTGGCAAGGATGTGGAGAAAAGGGAAATCTTGTGCCCTGTTGGTGGGAATGTTAATTAATACAGCCATTATGAAAAACAGTATGGCGATTCCTCAGAAAACTAAAAATAGAATTGCCATATGATCTAGCAATCCTTCTACTGTGTATATATCCAAAGGATATGAAATCAGTATGTCAAAGAGACATACTACACTCTCATGTTCATTACAGTACATTCACAGTAGCCAAGCAGTGGAAGCAAACTACGTGTCCATCATCAGAAAAATGGACAAAGAAAATGTGGTATAAATACACAATGGAATACTAGTCACCGTTTACAAAGGAGAAAATCTTGTCATTTGTGACAACATGAATAAACCTGGAGGATATTATTCTAGGTGAAATAAGCCAGGAACTTAAGACAAATACCACATGATCTCACTTATGTGTGGAATCTAAAAAAGTGGAACTCATAGAAGTAGCTAGTAGAATGATGGTTACCACAGGCTGAGGGAGGCGGCGGATGGGAAAAGGGAGGCATTGATCAAAGAATACAAAGTTTTAACTTGACAGGAGAAATAAGCTTTAGTGATTGATTGCACAGGATGGTGACTATAGTAAGGAATAGTACATTGCCTTTTTTTTTTTTTTTTCATGACAGAATCTCGCTATGTTGCCAGGCTAGAGTGCAGTGGTGCTGTCTCGGCTCACTGCAACCTCTGGCTCCTGGGTTCAAGCAATTCTTCTGCCTCAGCTTCCCGAGTAGCTGGGACTACAGGCGCGTGCCACCATGCCCAGCTAATTTTTGTACTTTTAGTAGAGACAGGGTTTCACCATGTTGGCCAGGATGGTCTCGATCTCTTGAACTCATGATCCAACCCCCTCGGCCTCCCAAAGTGCTGGGATTACAGGCGTGAGCCACCGTGCCCGGCCTTGCCTGTTTCAAAAATGCTAAAATGAGTGGATCTTAAATGTTTTCAACATGCAAAAAATGTTAACTATGTGAGGTGATGGATTTGTTAATTAGCCTGATTTAATCATTCCACATTGTAAATATATATCAAAATGTCACACTTTACCCCATAAATATATACATTTATTATTAATTACAAATAAAAATTTTTAAAAATCCAGCTCTGCTTCTATTAGGGCCAGTTAATGTTCATCTTTGTACCTTAGTTGGTCATCTTTAAAATCAGATGTAAATTCCAAATTTATAAGGTTTTTGTGGATATTACATGAGAAAAAGCAATTATAACGCATAACACAGTTTAGTATATTAGTTTTATTGTTATTAATAAGACCCTGGTAAGGAGTAAGGTATGCTATCAAGAAGAAGGAGCAAATTCATGGAGTGCAGTCTCTTATAAAGGCCGTATTTAGGAAGGGAACATTTTGTTTTGTTTTAGCTAGGAGAATGTAATTATGTGTGTTCCTCACATTAGAGAGATTGAATGGAAGTATGCCTGTTAGTCTGCTTAGATCTCAGTAAGCTTAAATATACTCTGTGTCTGTGTATACAGTGTCCAATGTCTGGCTGAAAGGTGAAAGAATTCAGTTAAAGAACTAGGTGTTTACAAAGCTTAGATGCTGGGATGATCACATAGTGGACTCTTCGACTAACTTTTCCATTTTCATCTGGAGGTGCTGATCATACCTGAAATCCTATCCACACAAAGGTATGATAAAGCATTCATAATTTTGTTGATAAAATTACCTATGTTTCTAAATCTTTGTGTTAACCCAGTTTCTTAATGGGAGAGCACAGATGTTATTTCTTTCAATTTAACCGAGGTTTAGTTGAAAGAAATAACAACTGTGCATTTGCCCCAAGTTTTTTGGTGATATACTTGATGGGCATTTAACCTCTGAGTGTTCTTTTTAGTATCAAGAGCTTTTTGAATTGCCTTTTCCTGTGCTTTCAAAAATTCAAACTAAAATATATAGTTTCTTGACTCATTGGTTGACAGTGTTCATCTTTTGTAAAAATCTCCCAGACTTGCTGGAAGTTCAGGATAACTCAAATTAACTTTATCCATTGAAAATTCCCTCTAGAGATATAATTTCACCGAAATAAAATGACAAATCTCATGCCATCAATAAATCAGAGGTGGAAAGAACCAAGTACATTATTACATCCGTTCAAGTAGCAAGAGAGAAATGTACCTGGCAGTACATTATTTTGGTATGTAATTTATCTCATACCAACATTTGGAAAAACTTCCAGTGCTCCTGCTAAATTGTCATCTGTCACGGTGACTTTTTTTTATTTTTATTTTTAGGATTTCTCTAAAGTGAGTAGTGTGAATGTATAAATTAGTCAATCTGATTGATACATGCAGAGTGAAATGGAAGGAGCACTGAGGCAGAGACAACAGAGCTGAAAGGAGAAAGCCATGTTTTAGATCCTACAGCCTGTATTCAGCTCTGTACTGCCATTTAGTAGCTGTTTGAACATAAAGTGCTGAACATGTAATAGGCACTCAATTCATGTTACTCCTGATACTTAGTTATCTAGTATTTCAGTGAAATTGATCAAAACCTTTTTTATACCTTATATCTATAAAAAGGTATATCATACATATACCCACTGTATATGTAAGCACTCAATTCATGTTATTCCTGATACTTAGTTATCTAGTATTTCAGTGAAATTGATCAAAACCTTCTTTTTATACCCTATATCTATAAAAAGGTATGTCATACATATACCCACTGTATACATGTGATATGTACACATATCATTTAGTTTAAGGTTTATAGCAGGGTAACTTATTGGAAGTGTTGATAAAATTACCTTCTAAATAACTTATAGTAGTATTAAGATATTATCTTTTTTATGAACTTTAATAATCCTTCCAAAATATGCGTAAGTGCTGAGTCCTGATTCCTTTCTGTTTTTTTTTTTTTTTTTTTTTTTTTTTTTGCTGTAGGTATGCTTTTTTCTTTTTATCTAGCTGATACAGATTTATGAGAGCAATAACTATTATTCTACTTTTTTCTTTTTAATATCATCCATAACACCTCTGGCACAATACGGAAAACACACAGTACTTAGAGTTGTTGGGTAAAAGCACTTTTATGTAAGAAACGAGTCTAATATAAAACTTTAAAAATATCCGGGAAGCACCATGATCCATTAGTTGACCTGAACACTTTCTTTTGTTAACCTACTTTCTATCTTTGAGCTACAAATCTACTCCCCACCCCAACCCTTCTGCCAGAATGAATTTGAGATTGCTTTATAATCATCACGTTCCCCTGTAGCTGAGCCTAGAACTTAAGGCACCTACTCATTCCAAACTAGGCTTTCGCAAGACTCCTTCCACTTTAGTTTCAGAGGAATTCTCTCACACTGCAAGAAGATGCACAAGCCATTTTCAAGTCAGATATCTCAGAAGGAAAGTCACTAATCTCTCCTTCCATCCTCCCACTTCCCATTAAAGACAATTTTATTTTGCTGGCTTCATGTGCCTTTCTTACTAGCCTCCTGTCATTTTTAGGGTTTTCTGGTTTCCACATGCTTTGTTAGGTTCTTGAAAATGAATGAAATATGCTGACTGCCTTTAAGTCACCAATAGCCTCTTTGGCTTATTCCTCCCTCCAAGCTTTTGCTTATGCTGTGTGCCCTCTTTTGAATGACTTCTTTTTCTCCTGTTAGTTTTCTGGCTTACAATATCTCTCTCCAAACACAGCTTTGAGAAATCATGATCTCGCTTTGAGATATTTTTGATTTCTCTCCACCCACAACTTTGAGATATCACTGATCTCAGGTAGTCACTGTATACCATATATGTATATCCAAAAGTATATATCTGGCTTCTTATTTGTTATTGAGTTTCAGAATGATGGATGCAACTTCCTATTCCCACTTCCATCTTCATGCATCTCAAAATTAAATTGTCCAAAGATAGACCATTGATGCTATCTCCTTCAAACTTGCTCTTCCATAGGTCTCCGCATCTTAGTAAATAGCTTTTTCTTTTCTGTTGTCTAGGTGAAAATCCTTGGAGTCTATCTTAACTTTTATTGTTGTATCAATTATTTAATTTTGTCTTTACTTTCAAACCACTGGTACCACCCTAATCTGAACCACTGCTGTGTTAATTTTATTGTTTCATCACAAATTACTACTAAACTTGTAGCTTAAAACTACATACATGTATTATCTCACAGTTTTGTAGGTCAGAAGTCTGAGCATAGCTTTACTAGATTGTCTGTTTCACAATTTCACTTCTTTGGGTTTCAGCACAGGAATTGGCTTTGGCGGTAGCAGTCTTTTCCGAGGCTGGACAGGGGGAAGATTTTCTTTAAAGTACACTCAGGTTGTTCAGTTACTGCTGAAGGCTGTCCTCAGCAATTGAGGCCTCCTGTTGATTCTTGCTACAAGGGCTCTTATGACATGGCTATTTCCTGCAAGGCAGCTCACTTCTTCAAGACTAGTGAGGGGCTATGTCCCCAGGGGCTCTGCTAGCGAGATGAATCTTATATATATGGTAATGTAATTACAGTAGTGATCTCCTATCACCTTTGCCATACAATTGAATCTCATTATGGGATAATATCTTTCTCACCTTTGTGATATTTTCTTGGTTAGAAGCAAATCCCAGGGTTTTACACTCAAGGGGGGGAGATTAAACAAAACTGTAAACACCAGGAGTCAAGAATCATTGAGAGTCATTTTAGGGATTGTCTGCCACAATTGTCATCTCTTGCTTGGATTTTTGAAATAGTCTCCTGACTTTTATTTCTGCTTCTTTCCTCTTCTACCCTCATTCAACAGCTAGAATAATCTTTTTAAAAAAATTAAGCCACGTAACATCCTGAGCTGAAAACCTTCAATGGCTTTTCATTTCAATCACAGTAAAAGCCCTTGTCTTTACAAGGTCGTACAAGATCTGAACTTTTACCCCTCTGATCTTATCTTCAGAGGGAACTGGCTATTCACTGTCTGGAGTGTTCTTTTTTAGTTATCCATATGTATGACTCTCTTACCTCTTTCAAGTCTTTGCTTAAACATTACCTTCTCAGTGAGGGCTTACTAGAACCCCTACCCTCCATTTAGAATTCTGACCTCTTCCTCCTCTCCCTCACTCAGCTATTCCTTTTCTTGCTTTATTTTTCTCCTTAGCACCTGTCACCATTTAACAGCATATATAACTTTATTTTAAATTTTTCTTTTGCCCACTGCTCCCACTCGAACATAAAATTCACAGAACATGGCTCCATGAGAGCTATTTTATTCCCTGTTATATCTCTACCACCTAGGTAATACCTTTCACAGGGTAGACACACAATAAATATGTGTTGAATAAATGAATGAATACATCTCAGGCTTCAATTCCTTGATACAGACTTCTTGTTACTCAAACCTATGGAATTATTTCACATCATGAAAATTCTATTGAAACCAGCCCTGTTCCAATTTTCCTTTTATCTTCCAACTACATTTATATAGATAGATAGATATACATATATATGTAGTTGTATTTCTTTAATCATTTGGGGACTCTTAAGAGTAACAATAGCTCTGACTTTAGGATGAGTTATGTTGATTTTCAGTAATTATTTGTTGATTGATTTTAGATACTCCTACATTAAGGACTGGTTGAGTGATATTTTATGCAAATACATAAACTTCTTTGTAGAAGAATATTTGGTTATCACATGAAAAAACTGAACTACCTCACATAAAAAGAATATCATAAAATACTGAATTAAACTACCTCAATCTTGGCTTCAAGTGGTTTACTTAGGACTCCAGTGGGCCTTGTTGGCTGATCAAGAGTTCTTGCTACTATATGGCAGTTAAGGAATCAAATAATGGCTCTAGGTTTGCTCTTAAAAATCTTAGAACAATACATGATGGAAGCTTTGATGCGTCTTTTGCAGAAAAAAATGTTCTTTATTTTTAAAATTTCTTCATTTAAATGTAATTGTTTTACAATAAACTTCACATATTTAGTGTACAATTTTACCATTTTTGGCATATGTATACATCCATGAAATCTTTACCACAATCAAGATGGTAAACATATCCATAACCCCCGCAAAGTTCCCGTAAGTCCCTTGGTAATCCCTCCCTTCAGCCCCTCTTCAATGTCCCTCTGTCACCTGGCTTCTCAGAAACCACTGATCTGCTTTCTGTTACTATAGATTAGCTTGCATTATTTGGGGGCTTTTATAAATAGATTCACAAAGTATATACTCTTCTGTCTGGCTTCATTTACTCAGCAAAATTATTTTGAGATTCATCCATGTGGTTGTGTGCATCTACCTCATTTGATTACTGTGTGATACTTCATTGTATTGATACCCCACAGTTTGTTTTTTCCATTCATTTTGTAACAGCAGGTAGCTAATCAGGCATGAGTGGGGCAGGAGAGGTCTCCCTCTGACCCACCAAGAATGTCAGGAGACCATCAGGTGATGGTCTGGCTGTTGTCACACTAAAATGTTAATTGGTTGCAGCTGGAGCCAGGGAGTCCCCGGCAATTTTGCAAACACTTGAAATTGGTCATTGATGGCTTCCAATAAAATCTCAGGAATTTGGTAAGTGGGCATGAGCACGCACTTTAAGAGACAAAATGGTGGTGTATGACCTTCCACTGGAAAAGGGAAAAATGCCTCAGATGAGCATGGGTACAATTCCAGTAAACACACTGCACATGCTCACCCACCAAGCACAAGGAAGGCACTGCGCATGCAGGTGGTCCACCCTAATGGAATAATGAAGGGAAAGGGGCACAAGAGGCCGGAAGTAAGTCAGCATATTACATCCTAGGATCAAGGTTAAATGGGACACTTGACCTCCAAAGTGCCCACTCGGATTTCTTCCAAGTGTACTTTTCTTTCTTTCCTGCTCTAAAGCTTTTTAAGAAATTTCCATTTCTGCTCCGAAACTTGCTTTAGTCTCTTTTTCTACCTTACACCCGTCAGTCAATTTATTTTTTTTCAGAGGCACAAACTGAGGTTTCTGCAGACCTGTACGGATTCTCCACCAGTAACTCAGATATTCGCTACCTCTGACTTGTTGATGCACATTTGGGTTGTTTCCAGGTTTTTGGCTTTTGAAAAGTCTTACATTTATTTATGTAGTTGTGTCCAAATCTTTCTGTAGACAAAAATTAAACTGTTTTCCAAAGTGATTGTACCATTGTATATTCCTACCAATGTATGAGAGTTCTGGATACTCCACATCTTCTTTGACGCTTGATATTGTTGGTCTTTTAAAATTTAGACATTATGAAAGGTGTAAAGTGGTAGCTCATTATGATTTTAATTTATATTTTCCTAATTACTAATGATGTTGAACATCTTTTTATGTACCTTTTTGATATCTTTATATCTTCTTTGGTGAAATGTTTTTTCAAATATTTTACACACTTTTTTAAATTGAGATTTTTTTATCATATTGAATTTTGAGAGTTGTTTGTATATTCTGGATACAAGTCCTTTATAAGATACATGTTTTGCAAATATTTCTTCCAGTATGAAACTGTCTTTTTCTTTTCTTAACAGTGTCTTTTGAAGAGCGGAAGTTTTCATTTTGATGAGGTCCAATTTATCACTTAATTTTTGTTTTTGAATTAAATTTTTGGTATTGTATCAGCACAGTATTTTTCATTTTAATGTCACTGGGTAAATTAAGAATATTTGATTTCTTTAAGATATACTTTAACATAAAATATACAAATCAACAATTAAACTATAGCCCAGTTAGTTTTTATGTGCCTTTGACTTCTAAGTAAATCTTATTCAGCTTGATTAATATATTGTGGTCCGAATTTTAAGCAGTGTATCTTTTATACTCCTAGGTATTTCCCTAGGCCAGGGTTTCTCAACCTTGGCACATTTAGGGCCAGTTAACTCTTTATCATGGGGGCTGTCTTGTGCATTGTAGGATATTTAGAAGCATCCTTGGCCTCTCTCCACTAGAGTCCAGTAGAATCTTCCAATTATGCTGATCAAAAATGTCTCCAGACATTGCCAAATGACCCCTGTAGGACAACCTGGTTAGAAACCACTCTTTTAGTCTATTGCACTGGTGGTCTTGATTCTGGTTCTGACTGCCCTAGGCTGTCTGCTTTGATGCTTAGAGCATATGATAAAGCCAGAAAAACAATGTTCCTACTTTCTTCCTTTGACAACCAATGATATCAAGAGATAGATAGATGCCCCCTCCTACTTCCCCAGCACATGTCTATATAAATGGACCTCCAAACTACACATGAAATTATTTCTTCAATTGGATTCCTTTTCCATTCTCTACTTTAGTAAGTTCGAATACAGGAAATACATGTGAGTCATTTTCTTGTGGTGGACCCAAAGAATGTTAGGTATCACATTACTCATAATCCTGAAGATGGCAATTTTCTACCTGACAAAAGTTACCTACTTCTCTTGCTTTCCATTAGCAGATACATTTTATTTCATACTAATTTGGGTATGACTTTTTCTAATTGTTTGCTTCAGACAAAGTATATTGACTGTCATTTAAAGTAACTCCTCAATGTCAGCATTTAAAAATACGTATTTTTAAAATAAACAGAAATAATGCAGAAAATTTAGAGGGCAAGTGGAGGCAGGAAAATACTTATCTAATAATCACCATCACAGATATCATTTATTGTTATTCCTTTAAATTTATGATATCCAATGCAAATAATTTTTTAACTGTCTACTTTCTATTTCAGACTATTCATTTGTTTTAGAACATAACAGTATTTTAAAAGATTTTTATTTCTTCTTTACTGGAGTTCCCTTGGAGAATATTGGGAGTCTCTTCTCATATGATAAGGAGTATCTCTAATATTCTACTAGTTTCAGAAAGCAGTTGAACTCCTGTGCTACCTCATACAAATATAGGATATGAATTTCATTATTTTTCTTTTGGGAATGCAGATTTACAAGCAATAGAGGGTAGAGTTTGCAAATAAGACAAATGCCAAAGGTGGAAGGAAATCTCTTGAAAGGAGTCTGCATGAAATTGATAACTAAGACTGAAATCCCCTTCTGACTAATAAGCCCTATTAAATGAGTGTTAGTGCAGTTAACGAAGCTCCAAAAGGAAGAGACGTTGGATGAAACTCATCTTGTTTTCAAAATTTGCCCTAGATATTTTGATGTCAGTATTACCAGAGCTACTGTGTGCAGTAGTGACTCAAATAGTGGTAGTCAGGCCCTTCTGAAATTACAAATTTGGTGACTAACCATTTATTTTCAGGGCCGGGAAGCAAGTGAATGGTGCTATTAAGTTTTTAGGTCACCAACAGGCATCACATTATTTTACCGGCAGAACCAATTGTAATTCACCCAAATTACAAGGCAAGTTGCCGGAAGAAGTCATTTTATTGCAACATCATGCTGAATGTGGGATGGCATTTTTCAACTCAGACTGAGAAGTTAGAAGAATGGTGATTAAATGCTGAGAGTCATGAGAATGTGGTCTGATTCCACAAATGCAGACTTCAGAATGAAGGTTTCTATCATCACCCCTTTCACTGACCAGGTTTTCTTTTCTCCCTTGGGGCAGAAGGGTATTATTTATTTCTTTTTTTTCTATTTTCTTTTTTTCCATATTCAATGTACCAAGGAATGGAAATTATTTGGCCTTAATTTTTTCCCTTTCTTTTTGTCTGTTTACTCCCCCTTCTCCCTTTCTGTACTTCTCTCTGCACAGTTGTTCTTCTTTTCCTTAGACCTTCCTCACATGGTTTCCTTCATTGTCACATTTGCAGTTTGTGATAAAGACACTAGGAATGCAAGATTCTGCTACTGTTTTGAGGAATTAGCCACCTGTATCCCACAAGTGCCACTGACTGTTTCTCTGTTTAGTTGCTCTGCACTGTTCTTTCAAACTGGATTTCGTAATTGCCAGAGCTAGTTGTGGTTAGGTCCCAGAAATCCCATATCACAAATGTGAAATCATTAGTCACATGCTGCCATGAAAAGCCAGAACCAAATGTTTCTGGCTATCTGCATGTTAATTCTCAATTCTTATTTAGGAAACAGAGATAGACCTTATTTTTTGAATAACTGGGTTGAATGGCTCAGTATGGCATGTTTCATTCCCCAAACATTCGTTTACTTGGTATAAGCCAGTATGCTAATTTATTTCAGTGGACTTGTATAGAATAAAAAATGAAAAGGTGCCTGTTTGTGTGACTAAATGAAGGCAATGCAATGTAGTGTAGCTGGTAGAGGCCTGGGCTCCTCTTAGCTTTGTGACCCTAAGCGTTTGATTGAATCTCCCCAGGGCTCATTTTTCTCATAGATGATAGAAATAAGAGCTCCTACATTGCAGGTTAAGATTAAATGAGATGATGCATATAAGACAGACTGTATACTCTGCACAGTTCTATAATCAAGACTGTGTCTATTTTTGGCACTGTCATTTGTCATTATGGTACATTATTTAACCTTTTAATGACTATGGTTATTCATCTATAAAATAGGGGTTGTTTTCAAAAATGAATGAGACAATTTATATTAAGCGCTTAGATTTCTGGCACATGTGTGATCATAAACGTTATTGCATTAATAGTGTGACTTTTAAAAAAACTGTAGTATAAATATAACACATACAAAGAAAAATTACATAAACTGATATCTGTAATAAGTGCTCTTTTTACATATGGGTTCTTTGCTTAACATTACATTTATAAGATTCAGCTATGTTTTTACATATAACTATTGTCTTTTCATTCTCAGTACGGTTAGGGTGTTCTATTGAATACATATAATTAAATTAATCAACTATGGATGAACATTTGAACTGAGTGAAACTTTTAGCTGTGAATAATGAATCTTCTATGCAAATCCTTTTGTCTGTCTCTCGGTGCTTGTGAATGAATTTTAGTTGAGTTTATACATAGGAATGGAATTGCTAGGTCATAGAGGATGTCTTCAGCTTTAGCGGATAACACGAAGCTTTATGAGAGTACCCATTTCTCTCTCATCCTTGCTAGCACTTACACTGTCAGTCTTTTTAATTAGATATTTCTGGTGGGTGTATAGTGATGTGTAATTACAGTTTTAATTTGCATTTCTCTGATGAATAATGAGGACAATCAATTTTTAATTTGACTGTTGGCAATTTCGATATATTCTACTATGTGGTGTCTATATTCTGCCTTTGCACTTTTAAAATTAACTCTATGAATTGCAAATACCATTTCTATTCTATGACTTGTTATTCAACTCCCTTGATACATTTTGAGGAAAATAATTTAATGTTCACATAGCCAAAAATATCTGTCTTCACCTTTAATAGCAAGTGCTTCTTGCTTTCTGTTAAAAATCAAAACAGAAATGTTTCCTTTCCCTGTAAACTTAATAATATCCTGTACTCTTCTAAAAGCTTTATCATTTTGGTCTCAAATCCACCTGACATTGGTTTTTTTTTTTTGTATGGTAGAATGGAGGAGTACAGTTACATTTTCTTCTCACAGGGATATCCACTTATCCCAGTATCATGTATTGAAAAGACCACCCTTTCCCATGTCTCCACAATGTCACTTTTGGTATCAATGAAGAGTTCATGTGTGTATGTGTTTGTTTCTAGGATTTTTCTTTTTTCATTGGTTTGTTTTCTCTTATTCTGTCAACCCATACTGTTTAGTAATTGCTACTTTAAAACAAGTACAGCAGGAGCATTGCTTGCACCCAGGAGACGGAGGTTGCAGTGAGCTGAGATTGTGCTACTGGACTCCAGCCTGGGTGACAGAGTGACACTCTGCCTCAAAAAAGAGAAAAAAGTAAAGAATCCAAATAAGCCCTTTTTCTTTATAAACTAACTAGAAAAATGGCATATAGGAGGCAGGACTAACTTGCCTCTCTCTATCAGACAGACAGAACAGTGTGTAGAGACTAATATCATGAACTTTTGCTTCAAGAACCACTGTATGAACATACCGGGAAAACCAAAAGAATTCACAGGCCTTTTGAAAGAAGCGACTTGCTTCTGCAAATTCCGTGAGACAGCTGAAAAACTGAGTCCCCGAAGTGTGAGGGGAAAATGTCCACCTCCAAACACACATCCTCACTGGGGAAACTAAACATCTAGATCATGGGAGAAGGATTTAAACTTACCTTAGAGCTGAAACAAATTTAGAGAGCTGAGTGAAATATAAAAGTAGAAGAAACAGTGGGAAGAGCCCTGTAGGTATTTCTGGTCTCCAGGGAAGCCGAGGCAAGCCATTTCTGACTTTATTTCACAGGGGTCCTTGGGGAGGGCAGCCAGTGGATTTGGGGAAGGGCCACAGGCAGAAGGAGACTTCCAGTGGAACTTTGTAATAATTTCAACTGAGCCTGAATTTTCCTGGGCAGAATCTGGGGGAGCTGGGTGAGGCATGTCACTGCCAGCTTTCCCCACTTCTCTGGCAAACTATGCAAAACAGCATAGGCAGCCACGCTACCTCTTGGAACATAACTCCATTGGCCTGAGAACCAACCTCCCGATCCCTCACAGTGGCCCCAGCAAGCCCCGCCCAAGGAGAGTCTGAGCTCAGACATGCTTAGCCCTGTCCCCACCTGATGGTCTTTCCCTACCCACCCTGGTAGCTAAAGACAGAAAAGATAAACTCGTGGGAGTTCTATGGCCCCACCCATCACCTGAGAAATCTGAATACTTATCTAGGTGACCTTTGGGCAAACTTGTATCCCTCCATATTACCGCAGCTGATTCTCTCTTGAAACTGCCACTTCCTGGCTGGAGGCCAACCAACTAAAGCCATTACAGCAACTCACAACAGAACAACCCTGCTCCAAGAAGGGAGAAAACAACAGCTAATACCACTGCCTGTAACATCCTGGCTGACCAGAAGTCCTGAATCTGTCCCTGTGACAACTTCACTTCTAGCATAAACCAGCATTTGAGAAAACCAGTGCACTAAAGAAACCTACAACCAAGGACTCTAACAGAGTCCACTTCACTACCCTGCTACCTCCACCAGAACAGGTGTTTGTATCCATGGCTGAGAGACCTGAAGATGGATCACATCACAGGACTCTGCAGACACTTTCCATTATAAGCCCAGAGTCTGGTAGCTCTGCTAGATGGCTAGACACAGAAGAGCAATAAAAATCACTGCAGTCCTGCTCTCAGGAAGCCCTATCCCTCGGGGAAGGGGGAAAGCACCACATCAAGGGATCCCCCAGTGAGACAAAGGAATCTGAACGGCAGCTCTTGAGTCCCATATCTTTCCTCTGGCATAATTTACTCAAATGAAAAGGAACCAGAAAAACAGTTCTGGTAATATGACAAATTCTGTAACACCCCCAGAATATCACACTAGCTCACTAGCAATGGATCCAAACCAACAAGAAATCTCTGAATTGCCAGGGAAAGTATTCAGAGGATCGATTATTAAACTACTCAAGGAGGCACCAGGGAAAGGTGAAAACCAACTTAAAGAAATTTAAAAAATAATACAAGATATGGACAAAAAAAATCTCCGGAGAAATAGACACCATAACTAAAAAACAACCACAACTTCTGGAAAAGAAAGACACACTTAGAGGAATGCAAAATACAGTGGAAAATTTCAACAATAGAATTGATCAAGTAGAAGAAAGAACTTTAGAGCTCAAAAATAAAGCTTTCAAATTAAGCCAGTCTGACAAAAAGAAAAAGTAATTTTAAAAAATGAGCAATGCCTCCAGGAAGTTTGCAATTATGTTAAATGACCAAACCTAAGAATAATTGGTGTTCCTGAGGAATAGGAGATATCTAAAAGCCTGGAAATCTTATTTGAGAGAATAATTGAGGAAAACTTCCCTGGCCTTTCTAGAGATCTAGATGTCCAAATACAAGAAGCTCAAAGAACACCCAGGTGATGCTCATCACACAAATATCACCTAGGCACATAGTCATCAGGCTATCTAAAGTCAAGACGAAGGAATCTTAAGAGCTGTGAGGCAAAAGGATCAGATAGCCTATAAGGAAAATGTATTAGAGTAACACCAGCAGAAACCCTACAAGCTAGCAGGGATTGGAGTCCTATCTTTAGCCTCCTTGAATAAAACAATTATCAGCCAAGAATTTTGTATCCAGTGAAACTAAGCTTCATAAATGAAGGAAAGATACAGTCTTTTTCAGACAAACATGCTGAGAGAATTCTCCACTACCAAGCCAGCTCTATAAGAATTGCTAGAAGGAGCTCTAAATATTGAAACAAATCCTCAAAATGAAAACAAAATAGAACCTCCTTAAAACCTAAATTTCACAGGACCTATAACACAATGAAACAAAACAAAACAAGGTATTCAGGCAACAAATAGTACAATGAATAAAATAGTACCTCACATCTCAATATTAACATTGAATGTAAATGGCCTAAATGCTCCACTTAAAAGATACGGAATGGCAGAATGGATAAGAATTTACCAATAAAGTATCTGCTGTCTTCAAGAGACTCATCTGACATTTAGGGACTCATATAAACTTAAGGTAAAGGAGTGGAAGAGATATTCCTTGCAAATGAACACCAAAAGCAAGCTGGAGTAGCTATTTTTACATCAGACAAACAGATTTCAAACAACAGTTAAAAATGACAAAGAGAGACATTATATAAAGATAAAAATACTAGTTCAACAGGAAAATATCACAATCCTAAATACATATGCATGTAACACTGGAGCTCCCAAATTTATAAAACAATTACTACTAGCCCTAAGAAATGAGATAGACAGAAACACAATAATAGTGGGGGACTTCAATACTTCACTGACAGCACTACACAGGTCATCAAGCCAGAAAGCCAACAAAGAATCAATGAACTTGAACTATACCCAAGAGTAAATGGGCTTAACCGATATTTATAGAACATTCTACCCAACAACTGCAGGAGATATATTCTATTCATCAGCACATGGAATATTCTCCAAGACAGACTATATGATAGGCCAAAAACCAAATCTCAATAAATTTAAGGAAATCAAAATTATATCAAGGATTCTCTCAGTCAGTCTACAGTGGAATAAAATTGGAAATCAACTCCAAAAGGAACTCTCAAAACCATGCAAATACATGGAAAATAAATAACTTGCTCCTGAATGATTTTTGGGTCAACAATGAAATGAGGTTAAAAATTTAAAAAATTCTTTGAACAATCATAGTGACAACACCTATCAAAACCACTGGGATATAGCAAAAGCAGTGCTAAGAGGACAGTTCATAAGATTAAATGCCTACATTGAAAAGTCTGAAAGAGCATAAATAGACAATCTGTGGTCAAACCTCAAGGAACTGGAGAAACAAGAACAAAACAAACCCAAACCCAGCAGAAGAAAAGAAATAATCAAGATCAGAGCAGAACTAAATGAAATTGAAACAAAACAATACAAAAGATAAATGAAACAAAAAACAGGTTCTTTGAAAAGATAAACAAAATTGATAGACCATTAGCAACATTAACCAAGAAAGAGAGAAGATCCAAATAAGCTCAATTAGAAATGAAGTGGGAGATATTACAACTGATATTATATAAATGCAAAAGATCACTCAAGGCTACTATGAACACCTTTATGTATACAAACTAGAAAACCTAGAGATGGATAAATTCCTGGAAATACACAACCCTCCTAGATTAAACCAGGAGGACATAGAAACTCTGAACAGACCAATAACAAGTAGCGAGATTGAAATGGCAATAAAAAACAATTGCCAACAACAAAAAAAGTCCAGGACCAGATGGATTCACAGCTGAATTCTATCAGACATTCAAAGAGGAATTGGTACCAATCCTACTGAGACTATTCCAAAAGATAGAGAAAGAGAGAATCCTCCCTAAATCATTCTATGAAGCCAGTATCACCCTAATACCTAAAGCAGGAAAGGACATAACAAAAAAATAAAACTGCAGACCAATATCCCTGATGAACATAGATGCAAAAATCCTCAACAAAATACTAGCTAACTGAATCCAACAGCATATCAAAAAGATAATCCGTCATGATTAAATGGGTTTTATACCAGGGATGCAGGGATAGTTTAACATTTGCAAGTCAGTAAATGTGATACACAACATAAACAGTAGTAAAAACAAAAATCACACAATCATCTCAACAGATGCAGGGAAAGCATTTGACAAAATCCAGCATTGCTTTATGATTAAAATCCTCAGCAAAATCAGCACAGGAGTTACATACCTTAAGGTAATAAAAGCCATCTATGACAAACCCATAGCCAACATATACTGAATGAAGAAAAGTTGAAAGCATTTCCACTGAGAGTCCTAGCCAGAGCAATCAGACAGGAGAAAGAAATAAAGGGCATCTGAACTGGTAAAGAGGAAGTCCAACTGCTGCTGTTTGTCAGTGATATGATCATATACCTAGAAAATCCTAAAGACTTATCCAAAAAGTTCCTAGAACTGATAAATGAATTCAGTAAACTTTCAGGACACAAAGTTAATGCACACAAGTCAGTAGCACTGCTATACACCGACAGCAACCAAGCTGAGAATCAAATTAAGAACTCAACCCCTTTTACAATAGGTGCAAACAAACAAACCAGTAATATACCTAACCAAGGACGTGAAAGACTTCTACAAGGAAAACTACAAAACAGTGCTGAAAGAAATCATAGACGACACAAATGGTAACACATCCAATGCTTAGGGATGGGTAGAATCAATATTGTGAAAATGACCATACTGTCAAAAGCAATCTGCAAATTCAATGTAATGCCTATCAAAATAGCACTGTCATTCTTCACAGAATGAAAAAAGCAATCCTAAAAAAAGAGCCCACATAGCCAAAGCAAGACTAAACAAAAAGAACACATCCAGAGGCATCACATTACCTGACTTCAAATTACATTAAAAGGCCATAGTCATCAAAACAGCATGATACTGGTATGAAAATAGGCACATAGACAAATGGAACAGAATAGAGAACCCAGAAATAAAGCCAAATACTTACAGCCAACTAATCTCTGACAAAGCAAACAAAAATATAAAGTGAGGAAAGGACATCCTATTCAACAAATGGTGCCGGGATAATTGGCAAGCCGCATGTAGAAGAATGAAACCAGATCCTCATCTCTCACCTTAAAATCAACTCAAGATGGATCAAAGTCTTAAATCTAAGACCTGAAAACTTAAAAGTTCTGGAAGATAACATCAGAGAAATCCTTCTAGACATTGGGTTAGGCAAAGACTTCATGACCAAGAACTCAAAAGGAAATGCAACAAAAACAAAAATAGATGGGATTTAATTAAGCTAAAAAGCTTCTGCACAGCAAAAGATACAATCAGCAGAGTAAACATACAACCCACAGAGTGGGAGAAAATCTTCACAATCTATACATCTGACAAAGGACTAATATCCAGAATCTACAAGAAACGCAAACGAATCAGCAAGAAAAAAAGCAATCCCATCAAAAAATGGGCTAAGGGCATGAATAGACAATTCTCAAAAAAAGATATACCAGCGGCCAATAAACATATGAAAAAATGCTCAACATCACTAATGATCAGGGAAATGCAAATCAAAACCACAATGCAATACCACCTTACTCCTGCAAGAATGGCCATAATAAAAAAATAATAGATGTTTGCATGGATGTGGTGAAAAGGGAACACTTTTACACTGCTGGTGGGAATGTAAACTAGTACAGACTCTATGGAAAACAGTATAGAGATTCCTTAAAGAACTAAAAGTAGATATACCATTTTATCCAGCAGTCCCACTATTGGGTATCTACCCAGAGGAAACAGTCATTATATGAAAAAGATACTTGCACACGTGTGTTTATAGCAGCACAATTTGCAATTGCAAAAATATGGAACCAGCCCAAATGCCCATCAGTGAATGAGTGGATAAAGAAATTGTGGTATAATACCATGGAACATTACTCAGGAATAAAAAGGAATGAAATAATAGCATTCGCAGAAACCTGGATGGAATTGGAGACCGATATTCCAAGTGAAGTAACTTAGGAATGGCAAACCAAACATCATATGCTCTCACTCATAAGTGGGAGCTAAGCTATGAGGGTGCAAAAGCATAAGAATGATACAATGGACTCTGGGGACGTGGCAGAAAGGGTGGGAGGGGGCTGAGAGATAAAAGACTACACACTGGTTACAGCGTACACTGATTGGGTGGTGCGTGCACCAAAATCTCAGAAATCACCACTAGCAAACTTATCCGTGTCATGTAACACAACCTGTTCCCCAAAAACTATTGAAATAAAATAAAAAATAACAAAATAAGTAAAGCAGGTCATCACTCCATAGTCATTTTAAGATTTTTGTTGTCAGTGGTTCTCAAAGCCTACGAGGTACCCAAGACCCAATGAGGGGGTCCTTGATAAAATCTTTTCCAACTACATATATATGTGAGGCTGGATTTTCTTTATATACTTGAACCAAATTGCACATGCAACAGATTTAATTCAGTCTTCTATTAAAACAGATTTTGAAGAGATTGGCGAAAATGCAAACAGGGCCGCTGTTATTCTATTTTTGATTTGAAAAGTATACTATTATTTCATATGTTAAAATATGCTATTTTGTTGTAACGTATTCATTGATTATTTTAAAATCAATTTATTACAAATATCTTTAAACTGTTCCCCATTTTAATGCCTAATATAATAAATACATTTTACCCATGTAAATTAACACTCTTTGAGATCATTGATAATTTTTGAGAGCAGAAACCAGATAGTCTTGGCTATTCTTGATCTTTTGCATTTTTATATTAATTATAGAAACAGCTTGTCTAGTTCCCTAAAACCAGAAACACAAATCTGTTGCAATTCTCATTGTGACTGCTTTTAGTTTGTAGATCAACTTGGAGAGATTTATTTTTTAAATGTTAAGTTTTCTGGTCAATTAAAGTATTGTATCTCTCAATTTAATAAGATTTCTTAACATTTTTCTCAATCTTTCACAGTGTTTTGGTCACATATTTTTATGTATTTTAAATAAAATCCATATTTTCATGTATTTTAAATAAAATCTTTTAATTTTATTTTCTGCTTTTTGTTGCTGGTACATAGAAATACAGGTTAATTTTGTATGGTCACAATAAATAGCGCTTTGCTAAACTCACTTATTAGGTCTAATTATTTTTCTGGTTTTTCTTTTGGATTTTCTACTTATAGTTCAAGACCTCTGCTAACAGTGGCAGTTTATTTATTCATTTCCAATTCTTATGCTTTTATTTCTTGCATATTTTTCTTGCTAGAACAACATGGAATACAAGTAATCATATCAGGTATACTTGTCTTGGACCTGATTTCAAAGTAAAGTTTTCAACTTTTACCACTAACTGAAAACATCTTTAAATGTTACAAGTTTTCTGTAATTACTCTTCCTTACATTAAGAAGTTTTCTTTCTATTAATATTAATCATTTGTTATGAGTTCATAATCATGAATAAATGTTGAATTATATCAATTGCTTTTCTGGTCTGTTGAGATAATTATAAGATTTTTTTCTTAATGTAGCATACCATAGTGACTACTTTAAAAAAAATGTTTAATATATTATTCCTGAAGTAAACTTCATTGTCATATTTTTTTTTCTTTTTTTTTTTGAGATGGAGTTTCACTCTTGTTGCCCAGGATGGAGTGCAATGGTGCGATCTTGGCTCACTGCAACTTCCGCCTCCCAGGTTCAATTGATTCTGCTGCCTCAGCGTCCCGAGTAGCTGGGATTACAGGCATGTGCCACCACACCCAGCTAATTTTGTATTTTTAGTAGAGATGGGGTTTCTCCATGTTGGTCAGGCTGGTCTTGAACTCCTCAGGTGATCCACCCTCCTTGGCCTCCCAAAGTGTTGGGATTACAGGCGTGAGCCACTGTGCCCAGCCCTTTTTTTAAATATATGTTTCTAAATCAGTTTGCAAACATTAGGATTTTTGTATCTAGGTTTATAAATGAAATTGGTCTGTAAGTTTTCCTTTCTCAAAGTACCCGTAGGGTATCTTGACATTCCAGTTGAGCTAATAACCTTAAATGTTTGATAGAGTTCACCCTTGAGGCTACTGAGGCCAGTTCTCCTTGTGGTAATATTTTAAATTATGGATTCATTTTTTTTATGGTTATAAGGCTATTTACATCTTGGTAAATTTATTGGCATGTTTTCCATAACATATAGCTTTATATATGTTGCATAACATATATGTAATGTCTGTAGGATCTTTGATGGTATTAGCTTTTCTCTCTCTGAAATTGATAATTTTTTACCTTTGTCTTATTTTTACTTTCCAGATTATTCTACTTAGGGGTTTATTAATTTTATTATCTTTTCAAAGAACCAGGTTCTGGCTTGGAGAATTCTTTCTTGTACATTGGTTTCTATTTCATTGATTTTTGTTCTTATTATTTCTTTTTATCTACTTTTAGTTTACCTTTTTCTCTTTTCTAACATCTTGAGCTAGATTCAGAGCTTATTAACTTTTTAGTCCTATCCTATCTGTCATCTATAAAATTGAAGCTGTAAATTTCTAGCTTTAGTTGCTTTTCATAACCTGGATATGTAGAATCTTAGCTATCCTTTAATTTAAAATATTTTCATATTTTCTTGTAATTTATTCATTGACCTATGGGTTGCAAATAATTATATTTCTTAATTTCCAAAACTTGTGGCAAGATATTATTGTTACTCATTTCTGTCTTAATTCTACTCTGATCAGATATTTTCTGTAGTATTTTAATAATTAAAATGTATTGAGATTTCCTTTGGTCAGTTTTTATAAATATTTTAGGTATCCTTGAAAATAATTTTTATTCTATGGTTGTAGGGAACAACAAACCATATATCAAGTCAAATTTGTTAATCTTTTTGTTTAAATCTTCTATGCCTTATTATATTTTTCCTGTCTTTTCCATGATATTGAGAAAGTTGAATTAAAAACCTCTATAATAATTATGAATTACTCCTTGTGGTTATGTCAGTTTTTTTTAGAATATTTGCAGTTGATTATAATAGTTGCATACAAATTTTGAAGTGTTTTATCTTACTGGTGAACTGAACATTTTATTCTTAAAATGTGCCTCACTTTTTTCCTTTTAATGCCTGTTGTCCTTAAGTTTACTCAGTTTGAATTAATGTATTTATTTCAGTTTTTGTTTATTTTTTTACATGATACATTTTAAAAAAACGGTTTTACTTTCAGGTAATGTGTCTGTATGTTTTATATACAAACATGAGTCTTTTATTATAATCTTACAATCTTTGTCTTTTCATTGGAGTTTCCAATTCATTTACATTGAATATAATTACTAATCTTTTTGAGTTTAACTCTCCAGTTTTCTTTGTGTTACCTCTTTCCCAAACTGCTTTCTTAAAAAATTTCTTTCTGTTTTCTTTCCATGGGTAGATTAGTTTATATTATTATTCTTTGTTTACTGTTTATTTGGAATCTTTCTCTCTTGGAATGTTTGCTCTTTTAGTTTTCTAAATGGCAAGTAAGGGAAAAAAATGCAATTTAAGCCAACTACTGACTTCCATGATGAATTTTATGCTGTTAAAAAAAAAATCCTGTTTCCTAAGCCATTATATAAAATGAGTAATTTTTATATCCTTATTAGCAAGTAAGTAGTAAAATTTAAAGGTGAGTGTATCTATAGCAAATATATCAAGTGCTTTTAAAAAAATCTGTTTCAGAAGTAGTTACATTTTGGATACTGAGTTTAATGCCCCCTTTCCTTTTATATTTACATTTTATCCTTAAATAGCATTGACAATTGCACTTAGGTTGCAAATAATAGTGAAGAATGAGTTTTCTTTCTGACATGCTTAGCAAAGTGATAATATTGGGTATATTGAAAATGGCAACATTGTAGTTTAATTATGTGCATTTTGTTTCATATCTGGAGGGTCACGTAATCGGTGATCACTATATGATGTAGATATTTTGCAGATGTTTGTCATTCAATCACATAAATAAGCAGTGCCTTCCTAAATCAAAAGACATAGAAGCAAAAGGAAGTATATAACCCAGTGGATTTTATTGTTCATAGCTTCTCTCCAGTTGTCTATTTTACATATAAAATGAAGTCTATTTTATCTTATATATATGTTCCATTGCCCAGTTTGGAAATAAATTCACAGTAAAATGATCATTAAAAAATAACCCCTACTGGACAGTATTTTCCATTTTGACAAGAGCTTTCAAAGTCTTCATCCAATGGAAACAGTCCAAGTCTTGTTCCATTTTGGAGTCAAAATTATGTTTGTTATTACTTGCTTGTTTCATTTGAGGGTCTCTGTTGCACTTCAAGTCACAGCATATACAAAGTCAGTGCTTTTTGTCTATAAGCACAGTTAACTTGACAAGCCTTTTCAAGGATGCTTAAGTCCAGCTGTCATGATTACATATAATTACAGGCTCTCCAGCCTCTTCTCAAACTTTTGGGTGAGAGAAAATTTACTATTTCACGAGGATACTACTCTTAATTCCAGAAAGTTTTAGGTAAAAAGTTTATCTATTTTTAATCCAAATATCTTCTTCCTGTAATTGTTCCACTGAGTCTTCTTGTTCCCTGCTAAGCTGCAAAGCTTGGTTTAAACTGTCTGTCTTGGGTGTTCTTGACAGCAGCCTGTGTGGCTCTTCAGAGAAGTTTTCCTCCCTCTGCCTCGTGGTCTCTGTTTATAGAGTGGCCATTCCATTTTCCCACTTTCTGCCTTCACCAGAGAAGAAGGAGGAGTGCATCAAGAGGAGTTTTTGCTCTCCTCTAGATGCGCTCAGGGGTATTGAGGTTTCCTCTAAAGGGCGGAAAAGAAGTGGCATAGAAAGAGCGAAAGAGCTAGATAGGGAGAGAAACATGTATAAAAGAGATGAACATAGAAAAACAGAGAAAGAGACAGACAGCAGAAGGCAGAGGCACCAGGATGGAAGAGCATGGCCAGGGGCTGAATGATCATTTGTCAATATTCCCGTAGACTTCACACTCTTGATATTTTATTTTTTTTAATGCAGCCGAAGGTCAATATATTTTGGCTATCTCATCACACTGTTGATTCACATTGAGCTTTTAGGCAAAACAGCTCTTTTTAGAAAACAAACACAACAGTAATTTAACTAACATTCATTGAGAGTTGAGTCTGTGACTGATAATTCTTTAAGGTCATTTAATCCGACAACACTCATAAAAGATCAGTACTGTTTTTATTATACCCATTTTACGGATGAATAAATGGAAACACAAAGAGGTTAAGCAACTTGCTCCAGTTCGTGCAGTGAGTAAATGGTAGAGCAAAGATGCCAGACCATCTTCCCTATCCTGTGCTTGTGCTCACATAATTTTGATAACATCTGGACTATATTCATCTATATAATTTTATTTTTCATAAATTTGGCCCATCATTTCATGCTGCTATTTTTAATCTCAACTCACCCATGTGTTGGCTGTTTCTCAGATTCTTTTTATTAGCAAATTATAAGCAAATCACTTTTTTCTTATTCAAAGCATTCACGGACTTGATGAACAGAATGGCCAAGGATGCGGTATAATGGTATATGCTTTGAGCCTTTTCTCCAAGTAATATTGATTCATGTACCCTTTACATCAGGACATTTATCATTATTTAGTACAATCTAGAATTAATATTCAGATATATTTTTCTATATTATTATTGATATTATGATATTTGTAGTATTTGACTGTAACTCATTTATGCCAAGTTTTTCTATTCTAATGGTTTACCAGTAGCCCTATCAAATTATTTATTGGAATAAAATTATAGTTAAAAATCTCCCGAGTAGTTTTAATGGGATAATTTTTAAAGGTAATTGACATTTCAGTGATTTTGAATTATGCAAAATAGTTTTCTACAATTAGAGATTCTTCATCGGATCCTTAAAATATAGATATAAAGATGACTGTGTGTGTCTGTGCGGGCAGATAAGCATGCATATATATGTGTATGTATAAACATTTTAGATGTATATATTTAGGCCAGCTTTATTTTTAAAAATTTAATTTGGGAAATATAAATTTGACTTTGTATAGTATTATAGTTCCAATCCTGGAAATTTTTCAGAGTTCAAACATTGAAAGTGGCTCAAGTAGTGAAAATAGTATTCAACTGGTGAAACTAGTCCAAGTAGTAAAGAACGGCATTTCTTTTTTGCCTTCTAGAATTGTCCAAGTTATAATCTTATATTATAACAAATATATGGCCCTTTTGGCATTGAGCAAACCACAGGTAGCAAGAAAGTGAGTTGAATTTGCAAATCGAAATATAGGGTGTTTTAGTCTTTTTCCTTCACCTCTTAATTTATTTCCAGATTGACTACTAGAAAGTGCAATTAAAAATTATACATGTTGCAAAAAATATTGAATCCCTGGATTTCTGTGGGGGTGTTTAGGCAAGTCATATTAGTAAGATATGAATTAAACTACCAAGGTATTTTATTAAATGATCAGGCATGGCAAGTACTCACTGAAAAATGCTTGAACAAGTAGTGCCAGGTTGATGTCCACTGGCAGCAGCATAAATTGTCCGACTTCCTTATCTTTGTTTCTGCAGCTTCTTTCTCTTATCAAGGAGAGAGAAAAAGCCTATGCATTTTGCAAATAGAAGATGGTCAGAGGGTGAAACAAAATTAGTATGTATGTCTGTAATTGCTCAATCATTTCCCCAAAAAATCACTGCAAATGACTCTCTTTTTCTTTGCAGGGATAATTGTGCACCTGTTTTTCAAGACACAAAAGCTGGTTTTGCCTTTGTGCATAAAATGTGATTTGGAGAATTTGGGGATCATGTAACCACATATTTACATAATCAAATGGCAAACTGCAACTTATTTTAAGCTCATAGATTCTTTGTTCTTCCTTACCCAACAATCATGTAAACAATGCTAAAAGCACTGGTGTCGGTCTGACACTTGGAGAGTTAGGTTTGATTTGTATAACACTATATCAAGGACACAGAGCAGACTGATAGATACAAATGATTCTAGAACATTCTACTGAAAATACCTCCTATTTTCTGGTACATGCCAAAGCCATTTTTAGAATTTTTCATCTACCCACCTTGCGCACATTACAATTTGTGTTCCCTGGGGGCAGGGGAAGAAGTATAAGTTTTCTTGTTGATGATCCAAGAAATATGAATAAAGTTGTTGGCAGATGGTTCGCACATTTCATTCTGAAATATCTTATAGTGACAAATAACAAGTGTACATAATTAGCTCTATGCAGATGGCATGCCAAGTGTTGATATTCATCTCTGCAAACTTTTTACAAAGATACTATTTTAAGAGTCAAGATTTAAAGACAGCCTATAAGCCCTCTAAAGAGGAATAAGCAGAGTTTTATCATAAAGGACCATGGTTATCCAGTAAACCTTTTCTAGACCAAGTTTCCCATCCTGAAACCATGTTGTATCCCAAGGGGAAGGAACCCTAAAGTGAATTGTGTCTGTAGCTACTGATCAGATTGATCTGTTTAGGTTGTTTTGATTGGATTGACAGAAGGCATGCACCAATGAGTTCAGAGGTGTGTGTTCACCAAAGTAAACCATGCTGCCCTTCTTTCTCTTCCTCCAACAAGCCACACCTTTGCATCTGCCTTTCTCTCTATCAGGAATGCTCTGCTCTCAAGTCATTTCACGGCTGGGGCCTCTCATCAGTCAGCTTTTAACCTAATTTGTCACCTCAGAAGGGCTTTCCCTGACCACCTACACACTACTTGTTCCTTCTCACTTGCCAGTTCTTCTAATTTTATTCTGGTTCATTTTTCTTATAGTTCTTATTACTACCTTTAAGATAAGTGATAAGTAAGGTCCTTGATCTTATGGTTCACTATTTTATCCCCAGCCTCAATCACAGTGCATGGCCTGTGAGGGTTAAGGGACTTTTGTGAATGGCTTATGAGCTACTCACTAGTTATAGTTATTCAAATGTTTAATACTTTCTTTGTATTTATCAAGTATTAGAACATACACAGCCAAAATGAGCACATTGAGCTAATATTATCTTTGCTATAAAGATTTTATTAGTTTTTTTCCTGATATTTGCTTTCATTTAGTTTGATGGGTACATATGGTAGACAGAGAAATGTGGGCACAGACCAGGACTTGAATATAAATAGAGAGCAGAATTTTATGTACTTGTTTTTTCTTTTATAGTTTACCAATAAATAGGAATCATGCCACATTTATTTGTTATTTATATATTGTCTACTGTGAGGTAATGTGCCTAACATATATTTTTTGTTATTAATTGAGGAGAGCAAAGATCACCTGGTGATCATCAAACAGGCCAGACAGAGACAAAACTCCTTATCTGGGGAATTTATAAGTAATTAGATTTCCTTATTATCTAAAGTCAGCATCTGGTTCCAGTCCTCTTTCCAAAAAGAAACTTATAAGTAACTAGAATTTCTGTACATCTCCGGAATGCATGCATGCCCAAACTCTTTGTACAACCCTTGCTGACATTAAGGCACCAAAATGTCTACAAATATAATCCTTTATCATGATCTACATGGCTAATTAAGGCAATAAAATGTCTACCCATATAATCCTTTATCATGATCTACATGGGTAATATGGTCCAAAGTACCGTTAAGCTCCCCCTTTAAGGTCCATAAATGTTCCTAAGGAAAACCCACCACAGCACATACATTCCTCTTTTGCTGAGGTACCCTGCACTCTTCTGCAGCATACTTTCTATCTAATAAAACTTTCCTTTTCAAACCTATACTGTCATCAATAAATTATTCTTACCAACCTGCAAGTCAACCTCTTTGCAATGCCGGGGCCCTGATACCTCACCCGGCATTAATGCTGTACTGAATATATGAAAGGGAAAGTATCGGGGGACCTGCCCCGATAATCACGTAGGTTCTTTTCTATTTTCCTAATCGTCAGCTGGCTTCAGAAATAAAGGGACAGAGTACAAAAGAGATAAATTTTAAAGCAAGGTGTCCATGGGAGACATCACACGTTGGTAGGATCCGTGATGCCCCACCAGCCACAAAAACCAGCAAGTTTTTATTAGGGATTTTCAAAAGGGGAGGGAGTGTGCAAATAGGTGTGGGTGACAGACGTCAAGTACTTAACAAGGTAATAGAATATCACAAGGCAAGTGGAGGCAGGGCAAGATCACAGGACCACAGGACCCAGGCCAAATTAAAATTGCTAATGAAGTTTCGGGCACCATTGTCATTGATAACATCTTATCAGGAGACAGGGTTTTGAGATCAACCGGTCTGACCAAAATTTATTAGGTGGGAATTTCCTCTTCCTAATAAGCCTAGGAGCGCTATGGGAGACTGGAGTTTATTTCACCTCTGCAATCTCGACCATAAGAGACAGGTACGCCCTGGGGGGGTGGGGGCCAGTTCAGAGACCTACCCCTAGGTGCGCATTCTCTTTCTCAGGGACGCTCCATGCTGAGAAAAAGAATTCAGCGATATTTCTCCCATTTGCTTTTGAAAGAAGACAAATATGGCTCTGTTCTGCCTGGCTCACCAGCGGTCAGAGTTTAAGGTTATCTCTCTTATTCCCTGAACAATTGCTGTTATCCTGTTCTTTTTTCAGGGTGCCCACATTTCATATTGCTCAAACACACATGCTGTACAATTTGTGTAGTTAACGCAATTATTACAGGGTCCTGAGACGATATACATCCTTCTCGGCTGACAGGATTAAGAGATTAAAGCAAAGACAGGCATAGGAAATCACAAGGGTATTGATTGGGGAAGTGGTAAGTGTCCATGAAATCTTTACAATTTATTTTTAGAGATTGCAGTAAAGACAGGCATAAGAAATTACAAAAGTATTAATTTGGGGAACTAATAAATGTCCATAAAATCTTCATAATCCACGTTCTTCTGTCATGGCTTCAGCTGGTCCCTCCGTTTGGGGTCCCTGACTTCCTGTAACAGGAAAGTGTTACCTTATTGGTGAGACTGAATGCCTAGATTTTCATTGTGTTTCCTTCATACATTTAATATTATAATTTAAAAAACATTCAGTGTCTGGGCTCAAAAATTTATGTATAAGAAAATATTTATAATACAGGTTTCTGAGATTTGGTGGAGCTAATGAAGAGAATTTACTTGAAAGAAATAGAGGTAGATGTTAGTCTTCTTTTGCAAGATAAATTTTGGATGATTCTTTCAAAGAATAGCATCATTGAGTTTTCCTTTTGGTAATACCATATTTTCTGATAAATTGATGTATGTTTCATGGTTTGAATCACGGCTTACAATGTTTTTTTCCCATCTCCTTTCACTGAAATTTTGAGATGTTTCCTGTTTCTTTAAAACAATTTGAGCGTTTGTCTTGATTCGTAATCTTTTTCCAGATCTCAAATATTTGTGCCTCTGGTTTTAAGCAGAACAGCTGAAAATTTTGAGAACTCACTCAGTGAAACATAAACAACAGGTTTAAAGTACCAAAATGGAACATTACCTTCTTCCCCCTTGTCTTTTTAATTGTTAAATTTAAATGCTTTAGACTGAATATCCATAGAATGTAATGATTGCCTCAGCTGGGATTCTGTTGTCTTCCAATTTCTTCATGTATTTTTAAAAAATGCAACTGTCTTGTTTTTAAAGATGCTGCAGTTTCTACATGTTTTTTCTATTCTCTAAGCTTTTAGTGCACAGAGAAATCCTTATAATAGCCCTTTTTTCAACTTTCATTGCAAAAAGTTGGCCACATTAGTGACCAAATCTCTAAAGTCTTAATTGCAGTGGGCCCCAATGTGCTGTGAATGAAATCAACTGATCCTAATTGCTCCCTATTGGGAGGGCTTCCTGGAAAGCAGTTTTCTACATGTAACACTTCGGAAGCCATAGGAAGCCCAGCAAGAGCAGATGAGAAAAAACACTCCAAATCTGAAGTCTAGTAAACTGGAGTTACAAATCAGTTTCCATCTCACAGGACACTTTGGGGTGATGAGTGGTCTAGGCTGTGTATTCTCCCAGGGTAAACAACGTACATCTACGTGCTGGACTAGAACTTAGCGTAAATGTTTTGCTTTAATTAACAAAAACATGAAAGAAAACGTAAGTACTAATTTCCTTTTCTACCTTTATAAATACTCATTTCAATTCATTTAATCCTTATTTCTGTTATAATTGCAAGCCCTCCAGGGCCATTGTGTCCTCTGAAGCTCCTAAGCCAATCATGACCAGGATAAAATGAATTAAAATAGTCTGCTGCCTTCTTCTTTCATTGATGAGCACTCATGTTTTCTTCCATAGTTTATTTTTCAAATAAAGTAAAATATTTATTATTAATTTCTAGTCTAGTGGGTATGTATGTGTTCTTTGCCATGGGAGATTGCACATTCATCATTTCATCTGATCATGAGGAACCAGCAGACAAGCCTAAATTCAGAGGCATTCTTCAAAAATAACTGATCTGTACCCTTGGAAATTATCAGTAACATGAAAGACCAAGAAAGGCAGAGAATGTTACAGATAAAGGAGACTAAACAGATAGGACAACTGAATAATCCAGGATTGTCTTTTGCTTATGGGTACAAAGGGAGCAATCAGAGAGCTCTGAAAAAGGCCTATAGATTGGTCGCACTATCGTATCAAAGTTACTCTCTGCACCTGTAATCCCAGCTACTCAGTGAACTGAGGCAGGAAAATTGCTTGAACCTGGGAGGCGGGGGTTGCAGTGAGCCGAGATAGTGCCAATGCACTTAAGCCTGGGTGACAGAGCAAGACTCCGTCTCAAAAAAAAAAAAAAAAAAAAGTTACCTTCCTGTCTTTGATAATTATGTTATGATCATGTAAAAGGACATCTTTGTTGTTAGAAAAGTTACATGGAAGCACTTAGAGAAGCAAATGGGGAAAATTTCTGGAAGTTATTCTCAAATAGTTCAGAAAACAATTATACATGGAGGAAGAGAGAGAGAAGAAAGAAAGTAAATGTGGAAAAATGTTGAAAATAGTGGTAAAGGGTACAAGGATACTTCCTATTTTGTAAATTTTATGCTTAAACTATTCCAAAATAGAAAGTTAAAAACTTGGCCCTCCAGTCAGGCATGGTGGCTCATGCTTGTAATCCCAGCACTTTTGGAGGCGAGGCATGTGGATCACCTGAGGTCAGGAGTTCGAGACCAGCCTGGCCTACATGGCAAAACACTGTCTCTACAAAAAATACAAAAATTAGCTGGGCGTGGTTGCCAGCACCTGTAATCCCAGCTACTCGGGAGGGTGAGGTAGGAGAATTGCTTGAATCCAGGAGGCGGAGGTTACAGTGAGCGGAGATCACGCCACTGCACTCCAGCCTGTGTGACAAAGCGAGGTCTCAAACAACAACAACAACAAACAAAAAGCTTGGCCCTCCTTGTGGAATCCTTCTTAGAGAGGGCTGACTCCTCTGGTGGATGTTGTGCCTGACCTCTTCTCCAGGAACGGCCTCCCAGCTGTGCCAGTTCTTTCAAAGCCAACTTAATATCTATAATTTTATTCACAATGCTTGGTCTTCCAGAGATTCTATTATCTGTATATTATTTTTCTACATTTATACTTCTATATTTTTATTTAAAAGATTATATTTCTTATTTTCAAAATATATTTTGTTTGCCCTATCAATGATCCCAAAACATTCAAGGTGACTTGCCATTAGGATAGACAACAGAAGCTTTAAGAAGTAAATTACACTTATATTGTTTCTATGA
Organism: Homo sapiens; assembly: GCF_000001405.40. Lineage (NCBI taxonomy): Eukaryota > Metazoa > Chordata > Mammalia > Primates > Hominidae > Homo > Homo sapiens. Next base: position 53,109,301 of record NC_000002.12, on the reverse strand, counting down.
TGTGTCAGGCATTATAATGAACATATTTTGTAGAAAATTTATTACTTATAACAATGTTGTGAAATACTCTAAGTATTACTGTGAGAAAAGAGGCTCAGAGAGATAGTTATGAGATTTTCCCAAGTTCATATAGCTAGTGACAGGTGGGGGCAGAATTTGAACCCACTCCTTTCTAGCTTTAAGTTTATTCATTTTTCACTACTATGCTACTCTGTACATATCACATACCTTTATACAAATTAAAGGCCAAGATCTATGTAGTGAAGATATGATGATATAAAAATAATATTATGACAACACTGTAGATGAGCAATATAATTTCAAAAATAACATGATGAACCCTGCCTTATATTGATGCAAAAAGGAATGGTAAGAGCTTGTCAGGGGAGATAAATGACACACTGGCATGAAATTCTAAGAGTTTTCAAGAGCCTTGTGTTTCTACCTCTACCATTCCAAGACTTAGAAAGCATGCTGGTCTTCAAGTGCTTCCTGACTTACTAAAATATGACTAACAAGTATTCTTAGTTAAAGATTGTATTAAAGTCACTGAAGAAGATGCACTTCTGGGGCATGTACGGGTCTCTTTTGTCTCTAGACAATAATGATCTAGAAATTGGTATGACCTCTAAAGGAGAAGATATCAAATAATCCTAGATAAACCAAACCTAAATACCACTTTGGAGGATGCCAAGAAAGAACTATAATAAAGGCAAGAAATGGGAATCCAGCCATTGCGTCTTTGAGGCTCTGCAATTCATACATGTAAGAAGTTTTTCTGACTCCTCTGAACCTGAACCTGTTCTCCATCCACATGCATGGTTTCATGAGTTGATTCAGCATAACTGTATTTGCTCAACACGTATTTATTGATCTCCTATCTGCCAGGCACTGTTGTAAGTGCTGAGGTTACATAAGTGAGTAAGACAGTCACACATTTTTAGGGTTTATATTCTAAGGAATGAGAAAGACAATAAAGGAGCAAAATAAATAAATTATTCAAGAATGTAATGTCATATTTTGTAAGTGCTATGAAGAATTTATGCTTGGCATATAAAGCTGAGCGATGTGAAGAGACTATGGGTAGATAGGAAAGTCCTGTCTGAATAGGTGACACTTATTCTAAGATTTGATTGACTATAGAAACCTTCTGTATGAGAAGTGAAGGAGTCAATTCCATCAAGTGGAATGATAGGTACGGAAGCCCTAAGACAAGTAAAGGTTTGATGTTTTCCAGAAATAGAAAAAAGCCAGTGAGGCAGGATTGTGTTGCATGAGGAAGAAGACGTAAGAAATAGTGTCGACAAATTAGAACAACCATGATAGGTCATGATCAGTGGTTTGGATTTTGTTCTAAACATGGTGGATAGTCACTAGAGGGTCTTTTTCTTTTATTTTCTTTTTTGAGATGGAGTCTCGCTCTGTCACCCAGGCGGGAGTGCAGTGGCACAATCTTGGCTCACTGCAACCTCCACCTCCCAGGTTCACGCGATTCTCCTGCGTCAGCCTCCCAAGTAGCTGGGACTACAGGCACGTGCCACCACACCCAGCTAATTTTTGTAATTTTAGTAGAGACGGTTTCGCCATGTTGGCCAGGCTGGTCTCTAACTCCTGACCTCAGGTGATCCACCTGCCTTGGCCTCCCAAAGTGTTGGGATTACAGGCATGAGCCACTGCACCTGCCCACTAGAGGGTCGTAAGCTGGGATGTTATATGGTGTGTGTGTGTGTTAAGTTCAGGGGTATATGCACAGGTTTGTTATACAGGTAAACTTGTGTCAGAGGGATTTGATGTACAGATTATTTTGTCACCCAGGTATTAAGCCTGGTACCTATTAGATATTTTTCCTGATCCTCTCCCTCCTCCCTCCCTCCACCCTCCAATAGGCCCCAGTGTGTGTTGTCCCCCTCTATGTGTCCCTATGTTCTCATTGTTTAGCTCCCACTTATAAGTGAGGCCATGCAGGGTTTGGTTTTCTGTTTCTGAGTTATTTTGCTGAGGATAATGGCCTCTAGCTCCATCCGTGTTCCTGCAAAGGATATGGATTGTTCTTTTTTTTGGGGGGGGGGGGGCGGGGCTGTGTAGTATTCCATGGTGTATATGTTCCACATTTTTCTTTATCCAATCTACCACTGATGGTCATTTAAGTTGATTCCCTGTCTTGCTACTGTGAATAGTGCTGCAATGAACACGTGTGTGCATGATATGTCTTTATAACAGAACGATTTATATTCCACTGGACATATACTCAGTAGTGGAATTGCTGGGTCAAATCATATTTCTGTTTTTAGGTCTTTGAGGAATCGCCATACTGTCTTCCACAATGGTTGAACCAATTTACACTTTCACCATCTGTGTATAAGCATGCATTTTTCTCTGCCACCTTGCCAGCATCTGTTATTTTTTGACTTCTTAATAGTAGCCATACTGACTGGTGTGAGATGATATCTCATTGTGGCTTTGATGTGCATTTCTCTAATGATCAGTGATGTTGAGTTTTTTCTTTCATGTGCCTTTTGGCCACATATATCTTCTTTTGAAAGTGTCTGTTCATTTCTTTTGCCCACTTTTTAATGGGATTTTTTTTTCTCGTAAATTTGCTTAAGTTCCTTATAGATGGTGGACCTTTGTCAGAGGCAGTGTTTGCAAACATTTGCTCCCATTCTGTAGGTTGTCTGTTTATTTTGTTGATAGCTTCCTTTGCTGTGCGGAAGTTCTTTAGTTTAACTAGACCCCATTTGTCCATTTTCGCTTTCGTTGCAATTGCTTTTGGTGTCTTCATCACGAAATCTTTGCCTTTTCATATGTCCAAAATGGTATCACCTGGGTTGTATTCCAGGGTTTTTATTGTTTTGGGTTTTACATTTAAGTCTTTAACGCATCTTGAGTTAATTTTTTTAATATGGTGTAAGGAAGAGGTGTAGTTTCAATCTTCTGTATATGGCTAACCAGTTATCCCAGCACCATTTATTGAATAGGGACTCCTTCCCCCATTTTTTTGTTTTTGCCAGGTTTGTCAAAGATCAGATAGCTGTAGGTGTGCAGTCTTATTTTTGGGTTCTCTGTTCTCTTCCATTGCTCTTTGTGTCTGTTTTTGCATATATGGTGTATATTTTAAAGTGATCTTTTTGGCTGCTTGTTGGGAAGTGGATTATAGAAAGGCAGGAATAGAAAAACTGAGAAGATTTGGTAGGCTGTGATAATAATCAGGGCAAATTATAGGGAACTACCTGTGCAGTGGAAATGAGGGGGTAGATTTGGGATACATTTGGGGACTGTAGTAGGCAGGCAGAACAGACTAACTGATAGATTAGAAGTGAATGAGAAAATTAAGAGTGATCTGAATTTTGGGGTTAAATAATTTGGTAGATGCTTGTGTCATTATGGAAGAAAATTATTTTATTTTAGTAACGAAATTACTTCATTAATATGACTATCATGTAAATGTAGGTACTAAAAATGGCCTTATTAATGTTTTAGGTTGTTTTTTCTCTACTCCAATTGGACGTTTTAATGGCAAAGTAAAGCATCAAATAACTTTTTTTTTCTTTTAGCATCTTTTTTTTTTTTCAAAAAGTCAGGATGCCAGACTTTTCTACTCTTTATATGTAAATATGTGAATAATATAAGAAAAGCTTACAATTTTATATTTTGAGGTTTAATTGATAAAACATTGAAGACAATATTAAGAGCTAATTTTAGAGCTTTCTAAGTACATAGTCTAATCACAGACAAATGGTGAACGATAGATGGACAAATATTGCTGAATATCTAACACACAATACTATGTCTGGGACATAATTATCATTCAATAAATGTTTTAAAAACAATTATATAAATTAAGCACTGAAATGCTTCCCAAGAAATGTGCTATGAGATCTGGGTAGCCTCATGATATGGTCTGTGATTAACTTTTATATTATATTTATTATACTATATTTATTATTTTATTATAGCAGAGTGACCAGAAAGGAGAAAATCTATTTCCTAGAAACTAGATTGAGGGTCAGGGTTCTTAAAACCCAGTGAAATATTTCATCATCTCAGTGTAAGAGCAGACAAAGGCACCATTTCTTTCTTAGGTTCTTACAGCAACAGTTTTATTAGAACTGTACTAGATCCTACATGGTTCTACTTGAGACTGTTTCAAAGACCTTGCCTTAGCAGGATTACAGAGGATGCTCAGAGCAACAGGTGTCCTCAGTGGGCCCCTTCTGCTCATACTCTATATTTTGGGCCAGACCAGTTACTTTGAACAACAATCTGAGTTACAACAAGTTCCACTGAGCTCTTTTTGCCGAATTTACTTTTTGCTGAATTTATCCCAGGATTTGTAACCAAACAGGGCTTTTTATAGTGTTGTACCAAGATTTTGGTAAAATTAAGCCTCATCTTTGTATAGTTATTTATACAAGTACATTATTGGGTATTATAAATAATTAGGCTCTGTATAAGGTTATTAGACCTTTTGGCTTAAAAGTATATCATTTGATGATTTATTTTTATTTTCTATTTTTTATTTCTTTTGCCATTAACCTTTTTACTCTCCCGCTGCTTGTTTTGCTTTTGCCATTGTCTGTATAGTACAGTCTGGTTTTATTTTTATTTTTATTTTTTTTGCTTTTTCTTGGACATTCTTTTTTTGTCGAATATATAAGGGAAACTTGTATAGGTCATGCGTGAGTGGAGGAATAAGCCACCATTCTAATACAATCCAGCTCTGAGGGCCAATGATTGCAGGTTTGTTAGAGTGGTGACCAATTCATGAAAAGTTAAGTGGTCAGACTTTGCCCTGGATGCTCTATAAATCTTTCATGAGAACCCTCCCTGTTTAGTCAGTTTGTAAAAGGAGAAGCCTCCTTTGTTTAATCTGCATTCCAGCATTATTGCATCATATGGCCCCTTCCTAGTCTCTGCTTGGTTTGAGAATGTGAGACATTGTTTGCAAGCTCATGTTATTGACGAAAAGTAGTGGCGCTTATTTTTTGTCTGTTTTTTCTTTGTCTGTGTCAAAGCCATAGCCTTCTTATGGGAAGAAATCCTTGCTTCCTCAAATTACTATATATTATCAGCAGTCTGTTATGCCTGATAAGCATAGCTCTCTCTTATTATAAAAATCAATAAATTCATCTTTACCTTTCTATTTCAGATATTGAGTGGTGGTCTCATAATCATCTGGTAATTCTGGGTTTGTCAGTATGTGGAATATAAAGACAAAGGTAAAATTATTGTTTAATAGAGTAGGGCATATCTCTGTTGGTCAGGAAGTCTCCCCCCAAAAAGAAACCTACTAATTGTATGTAAGGTTTTGAGAAGCATGGAGTTCAGGGATTGGTGGATTTTCAGAAGTATAAGTGGTTTTATCACATCTGTGTATGGTGTGGTCACTGTTGAGTATTTGGCATTGAGTAGTGTGTTTGTTGGAATGAGTACATTTCTGATTGTCAGACTTTCAAAAACAAAAGGCTGCAATTGATCATTTGGCTTGTAAAAGTGTATTCACAGAGGCTGATTTTCAGTGATGGATGAATGAGTTTAAAACTGGTTCTTGTAGCTCCTTGTTAACATAGCTGCAGAACAGTCATTTTCTAGGAGGATGGAAACCTCTCTTATTTTCAGTACCGTGGTTTCATTCTCATTCAGCCAAAGCTTCATTAGAGACTATCAAAAGAAGAGTTCTTTAATCTCTGCATTTTGACATATTGGATCAAATAATTCTTTGTTGTGTTTGTGGCCAGGAGGTTGTTCAGTGCATTATAGGATGATTAGCAACATTCCTGACCTTTACTTAACAGATACCAGTGACACCACCTTCCCTTAGTCTTCATAATCAAAAATATCTCCAGACTTTGCCAAATGTCCTCCAAAGATGGGGATGGAGAGAGATCAGCCATAGTTAAAACAAACAAACAAACAACCATGGTGTAGGAGATAAGTGTCTCTAGTAAAGACTAAACTTAAGAAGAGGACAATTATAGGATAAATATGAGGGGCAAATCCTTAAAATAATAACGAGAAAAAGTATGAAGTACAAAATAACCAGGAGTATGTAAAGGGTTGTATGACATAGGAGAATCTTATTCCACTGGTTTTGGGAGAAAGCTGTCTACTTCTTGTCCTCAGCAGCTTATGCTAAGAATCATAAGTTTGCAGTAAATTTCCACAGTGTATTTGCTCCTGGAGGCTCTCTGAAACCTCTGTTTATCTAAAGGTAGTAACTTTCCACTTCTGCTACAGGTCCTTTTCATTTTTTTCCACAGAGAATAGTGAGTGATAAAGACAATGCTTCTGAGTAGGTGGCAAAGCTTTGCATGATTCAAAATTATGAATAAGTGTTCCAGTAACATATGTCCTAGATTACTCGGTAAATACCTTAGAATGTTCTAGACAGGGAACACAAAATCTAATAGTATTTTTGTTTTGATTTGGTTTTGCCTCTGTGGATGTTGTGGCTTTTGTTAGATTCACCATTCAGCAAATCTATAAAATAAATAATAGATAGATAGATACCGATATACACACACATATATGGAGTCTTCCTCTGTCACCTAGGCTGGAGTACAGTTGCTCAGTCTCAGCTCAATGCCACATCTGCCTCCAGGGTTCAAGCAATTTTCCTGCCTCAGCCTCCTGAGTAGCTGGGACTACAGGTATGCACCACCATGCCTAATTTTTGTATTTTTAGTAGAGTTAGGGTTTCACCATGTTGACCAGGCTGGTCTGGAACTCCTGACCTCAGGTGATCCACCCCATTTGGCCTCCCAAAATGCTGGGATTACAGGTGTGAGCCACTGTGCCCGGTCCTATAGATACATATTTATAAACAACAGATAGAGGCAATTATATAAAAGTCATTTGAAGATTCCCAAAGGATTCTTATGGGATGGGTCTAATTCATGTTGCACCTTTGTAAGTTTCCAGATTAACTTAGTTCAGATGAAGCATGAATTGATCATGTTTTCTGCTATTCAAACAAAATTTTTCCGTTAGTATTTAATATTCTGGCCCATGTACCCCTAACATGGTGAATTATTTTATTAAAGATGAAGACAAATTCATTTGAGTTTTATCTGGTGCTATCAGGTATTCTGGTTTTGTCAGGTCTTCTGTTTTTATAATTCTACTCTTCCCATTCCTGCCTCTTTCCCACCCTCTGCAACCAGAATCTGGGGAATGGGCAGATTTTGTGTATCTGTGATGGAGTTCTTGAATTTCTCCATGGAGTTATTGTTATTATTAGTAGTAGTAGTAGTTTTTATATGAGGTCTTTGTATGTGGACTGCTATGCAATATGACCCCTCAAAAATTCAGGTGTTGCCAGTGTGATGGTGTTAAAGGGTAGGCCCCTTAAGAGGTGATTAGCCCATGAGGGCTCCTCTCTTGTTAATGAGGTTAAGTGCCTTATATAATAAGCTTCATGCGGCATTGGTCCTCTTTCCCTTTTGCCTTCTGCCATATGAGGATGCACCAAAAAGGCTCTGAAGTGGACACTGAATGCTTGCGCCCTGATCTTGGACTTCTCAGCCTGTGGAACTATGAGAAAATAAATTTCTGTTTTTAATGAATTACCAAGTCTGTGGGATTCTGTTATAGTGGCACAAATGACCTAAGACATGAACTTATGTTGAAGCAGTGTTTTAGCTTGATCATCAGCTTAAGTATTTCTGTAGCAGTATATTTCTGAAGCATTTTTATGTTATTTAAAAATGATTTCTATAATATCTGTTAAAGAGTTGGAATACTTGTGATGGTTAATTTCATGTGGCAAACTTGGACAGGTCATGATACTCAGATGTTCAGTTAAACATGTCTGGATTTTCTTGTGAAGGTGTATTTTTTTAGATGGGATTAACGTTTAAATCAGTGGACTTTGAGTAAAGAAGAGGGAATTCTGCCAGCAGAGTGCTTTTGGATTTGAGCTGCAACATCAGCTCTTACTGGATCTTCAGCCTGCTGGCCTACCCTGCAGATTTTGGACTTATCAGTCTCCACAATCTTGTGATCCAATTTATTAAAATGAGTCTCTCTTGATTCTACAGCACAGCTATATACCACATAATGACATCTCGATCAATGACAAATCACAAATATGATGGTGTTCCCATAAGATTATATTGTAGCTGAAAAATTCCTGTTGCCTAGTGACATCATAGCTATCGTTAACATTGTAGCACAATGCATTGCTCACGTGTTTTTGGTGATTCTGGTATAAACTAACCTAATGCACTGCCAGTTGTATAAAAGTCTGCCCTATACAGGTATACCATTTTTATCTTTTATACCATATTTTTTACTATACCTTTTCCGCATTTATATAGGTGTAGAAGCACAAACACTTAACATTGTGTTACAGTTGCCTACAGTCTTCAGTACAATAACATGCTGTACAGGTTTCTAGTCTAGGAGCGATAGGCTATACCTTATAGCCTAGGTGTGTAGTAGGCTATACCGTCTAGGTTTGTGTAAGCATAATCTATGATGTCCACACATGATGAAATCACCTAACAACACATCCCTCAGAATGTACCCCTTTTGTTCAGTGACAGATGACTACATGTCTGTTATTGCAGCAAAAGGCTCTTAACTGGACACTGAATGCTTGTGCCCTGATCTTGGACTTCTCAGCCTGTAGAAGCATCAATATTTGCAACAGCATTCAGTTTAGGTATCAAGACATCAAGTAAATTACAAATTTCTTGTTAGCCTTTTGGGGTACTGGAGGAAATCAAGAAACCTTTTTTTTTCCCCTATAGCATTTAAAATTAATAAATTATCCTAGAAACATTCCAGCTATTTGTGTGTCTCTGTGTGTGTGTGTGTGTGTGTGTGTGTGTGTGTATAAAACTCTTTTACTTTAGCAGTTCAGTATACCCTAGAAAGGACATCAGTTTAGTCATTTGTACAATTTGGTTTCTGAAAAGAACTAGATCCTAAAAGAGAAACTATACTACTTATTGTGTATCAAGGCTTTTATTCTCCCTTTGTTTCTAATATAACAGTTAATAATAAATAATATAATCAGGATTTGGTACTAGAGTGATCAAAAGTTTTGTTCTGGACATGAACACTTACTGTGTTATAAAAACAGAATTACGAAATTCTTTTTCACTGGGTAAGTTTACTAGAGTTGCTGGATTAAGGGTGTTGTCCCAGTGGATGGTAATATGAAAAGGAAAAGGTAGCAATATTTCACAATTAATTAATTGACAAGTAGAAAAATATTGAGTGGTCTTCTTTAGCAAAAGGGATTTACTGTCTTTAACATCAGATTCCAAATTGATCCTAATTCAAGATAAAGTCTAGATGCTTTGACTAATTTGGTCAAGGAATGTAATTACTTTGAGGCAGGGAGATTGTATCTTGCATACTGAATTAAGGCATAGGCTTTAAATATACAATCAATTTTTAAAATGTGTTATGTTGTTAAGGTAATATGTCTAGGCCATGAACTAAGTTTCATGTTAATACAAACAGAACTGAAATCAGTAAAGGCTGAATGTTGAATCTAAAGTCACATATATGACAAGGGAAGGAGTTAGAAATTCCGCTTGGGTCTTCAGTGTCTTTCCTCTATGGCAGGGATGACAAACACAAATGCTTATAAGGGCCAAGCTGGGGGCTGCATGAAAAAGTATCTCTCTATATATATTCACTTTTCTCTTAACTCTGTAATAAGAAATCACCATGCATGTGATGATAAATGGTAACATATATAGCTTAGAATCAAAGACAGAAAAGTTATATAAAAGCATGAAAGATTAAATTTACCTGAGATCTTGACAGGTTAAACAGCTGCTAACATTTGGTTAAGATTCTCTGAGCCCTTTCTCCATGTTCTCACATATACATATACACATTAAAATATACATAAGGGGAATCGTGTTATCTTGGATAGTTTCTCATATAATAAGTATGTATGTATGTAATCATTCTATAATATCTGAACACTTTTTCATTGTATATTTGTACCTTAATTTAAGTGGTAAGTCATCTGTTAATGGACACAGAAGTTTACAATTTTTTTTGTACTGAAATAAATTGCACTGCAACATTCCCATTTATCTATGCTTTTTATAGCTATTACTGCAGAGCCAAAGTTTCTATGCATTGAAACTTAGATTTGAATTGCAGAAATGACCTCCAGAATTCCCTCAATAATTGTTCTGAATTACATTCTTAAAAAAAAAGCAAATTGATAAACTCATGCCATGGATGGTTAAGGAAAGCTTGAATTACTCAGAGGGATTTTTATTTTCAAGAAAGAAACTTGGAGAACAGAATGAATTGATTCAAGGAAAGAAATATTAAAGATTTGATTTGTAGGTATCCGTCTAAAGTCCAGCGACAGAAACCTCAAGATATGCCACACAGCTAGTAAACTGATACAGTTATGTGGGCTGAGAAACATGGTGTTAATGCAAAACTGAGTGGTAGTTAATCATTTCTTTTTTAACTTGCATGCTTTCCTCAAAGAATTTGTTAGGACCTTTGATTGCTGGCTCTTATTTTGATTACTGGGATAATAAGAGGGCACGTATGAAATGATTCAGGCACTCAGAATACATAGAACTCTTTTTGAAACAATAATTTACGTGTTTAATCTTTCAATTTTACCTTCATTTAATGCTTGTACGAAGGACATCTCCTGATTAGCCCCTGGGAGAAATCTGAAAAATGAACCATGATTATGAGGTAAATAAAAATAAAGGAGAACACGAAGAGAGAGCTGTTTTGCATGGGCTTAGGACAAAAGAGCAGAAGAGATTTCGGTAGGGAAAAAGAACACTTGATTGTTTTAGTGGAAGGAAGGTACACACTTATTCCAGGAAATAGAATGAAAAATTGGAATTTGACTTTCTGATCACTGTAATTACCAGTAATGGTCAATTGTAATTATTATAATTTAGAAAAATGAAGGAATCTGGCTGGCACTCAGGCATTTAATTACCATGTTATGACCATATCATTTGGAAAGCTTTCATTTGCATTCATGGAGATGAATAATTTCTTTTTGATTTAATGAGAAGAAAGCAAACTTCCTCTGCTTCATTTTATATCTTACAATCTGCTGGAGAAATGTCTCATTCATATTCCTTTTATGCAAATGATATGCATTATGATCACAGAGATATAGCAACTTTTTCTCCCTTCTGTTGTAATTTCTCTTCTTTTGAGAGAAGCATTTGGTCCTCAGTGGCCTACACCTTACCACTAAATAGCAAGCTCTAGCTGCTAAGCACTCTCTAAAGTGGAACAACTCTTTGGATAAAACATAATAGTATTTCTGTTTTGCATTACAGATTATACTGTTCTGCTGATAAGAGCTTTCACATTTATTATGTCACAGCTTCCTTGTGGGTCAGAGGCTGGGCGCGGTGGCTCACACCTGTAATCCCAGCACTTTGGGAGGCCGAGGCAGGCGAATCACGAGGTCAGGAGATCGAGACCATCCTGACTAACACAGTGAAACCCCGTCTCTACTAAAAAAAAATATAATAAAATTAGCCGGGTGTGGTGGTGGGCGCCTGTAGTCCCAGCTACTCGGTAGGCTGAGGCAGGAGAATGGCATGAACCTGGGAGGCAGGGGTTGCTGTGAGCTGAGATCGCGCCACTGCACTCCAGCCTGGGTGACAGAGTGAGACTCCATCTCAAAAAAAAAAAAAAAAAAAAAAAAAAGAAATGTGAGTCAGAGAATTAAAAACTTTTCTCTTTTAATTTTCTCTTTTTTTCCTGTTCCAGTCTTCATTTATATGATGTAAGAGAAAGGTCTAAATTTAATTTCCTAGAGATTATTCATGAAGCCAGTGCCACTTATTAAAAGAAAATCTTTCCTCTTGAAATTATAATATCATTTTTATCATTTGTTAATTTCTCCTATCCATTTGGATATGTGCGTGTATGTGTGTGTATACATAAGTGTATGTACACATGTATATCCTTTATGGACTCCTTTCAGTCTTATTTAAACACCACAGTATTTTGATCACAACAAATTTATTGTCAGTTTAAATATTACATAAGACAGACCTTTCTCCAACACATTGATACAAATAATATGAACAAATCTCTAAAAATTAGTATAAAATATAAAAATTCAATAGATGAGTGGATAGCAGATATAAACTGATAATTTACAGAAGAATTGCCATGACCTCAGTAACAGTTAACAAATTTTGAATTATAATCCAATATAATTTTTATAATAGATTATATTATAATCCAATAGATTTTTACCTATTAATGAATGAAAAAGTAAGCATTAAAAAACAAATGATCTCTTTTATAAGATGATGCGTATTTTATGAGTATAGAATAAGCTGTGGAAGGTTATACATTATGCCTTGGAAAAAAATGGGGTCATATTAATGAAGCAGAAATAAAAATAGAGATGAGATTATTAACTTAAAATATTTTTAAGTTTAAAAAATATGTAGTTTGCAATTTAAAAATTGAGTGTGGTGAAAATTTGCAAAAGTACAGTTAGCAAACATCTAGAAAATTATAAAATGTTAACAGAAATTCAGAAGAATAAAGAAATGTTCTCGTTACATGTTTTAATTTGGAGTCTCCAAAATTGGACGGTGAAATAAAGTTTTGTGTTCAAGTAGTTTATCTGGGAAGTGATACTAAAAAATTCTGTTATGAGAGTAGGAAAGTAAAACAGGGTAGAAGGCAGTCAATTAGGGTATGTTACTACGCCTTTGGCCACTGCATGTTATCCTGGTCAAGGGCCAAAAGAGCTGAGGTATTTATGTTCCAACTCTGGTCATATGGACATTAATTCCAGAGGAAGGAATTAGCTAGTCTTTTGAAATGTAGTTCACATCAGAGTATTCCATCACTTTAAATAGAGTCCCATCCACAAGTTTTAAACGTTAGTTTTAATCTCTCTGCGTGTGTGTGTGTGTGTGTGTGTATGTGTGTGTGTTTTCTCTGTTACTGAAGTGAAATTTAACTGATATTCCACAGGTAAAATAAAGGACCTATAAGAAGAGAGACTGCAGTTTATTATAAGTACCTTTATGCCTTTTCCTTTAACCCTCTTGCTGTCATATTTCATATACATACACTTATATGTTTACATCAGCTCTTATTTTCAAAAGACTTTTGAGTATTTGATTATTTTGTTACTAGGCACAATATCTGTTAACATTGTGAGGTTTTAAACACATTTCACCATTTTAATATTTTCTTTTTAATATTCTCAAAATGAGCCAAGCACATTTGAAAGCTAAAAAATCTTTCTCAAATATACGTGGTTATCTGTTGCCTAGTTTTTGTAATTGAATTACAGATTGATTAATGTTCAGGAATAAATCTACTCTTGATTAAATTCTCATTTAAATGTTGGTGGCTTTGTTGTTGAATGAATGAAGGAAATGTTTGAATTGATCTGTTTGATCAAGCTCTCTGGGCAGTTGCCACATTCTTTGCTGGTCATTGATTTGACACCCAGCTGATTTCATAATGACTGAGCAACAAGGTGATTTTTCTCTTCCTTCTGTCTCTCCTACAGTCAATCTGGTTTAGAGCCTGTTTATTATTATTTTTCATTGTAATATAGTACAAGGTTGTTTTTATAACACTGTGTCCAATGGGTTATTATTTCCTAAGATTTGTAGGACCAATGAAGTATGTTTTTGTGTGTGTGTATTTTGTTTTGTTTTAGAGATAGGGTCTCCCTCTGTCACCAGGGTTGATGTGCAGTGGTGTGATCATAGCTCACTGCAGCCTTGAACTCCTGGGCTTAAGTGATCCTTCCCCCTCAGCCTCCTGAGTAGGTAGGACTATAGGCATGCATGACCACGCTTGGCTAATTTTCAAATTTTTTGTAGAAGTGGGGTCTTGCTATGTTGCCCAGGCTGGTCTTGAACTCCTGGCCTCAGGTGATTCTACCACCTCTGCCTTCCAAAACACTGAAATTACAGGCATGAGCCACAGCACCCAGCCTGATGCATTTGTGAAAGTCACCACAACTGGTGCAAAATTATGGCAAATGGATGTGGTTAATAAGAGGGTAGGATTCAAAGATAATTCTTTATATCTAGGAAAAGGCTAGAGAAAAGCTATGTATGCGAGAAATACTGGTAGTCTTATTAGATAAAAATAATTAAGACTTCCCTCTATAGGACAAGAAGTATCAAACCCAGCAAATCTCTTAGGTATTACAAATTGTAAATATGATTTCTGAAAATGAATTTAGGAATGATAACATGTTTAGAAAAAGAACTGAAATGCAAATAGTAATAATGGATTATGTGACTTATATCCACAGCTAGTAACCTTTGATTTTAAGAGACATAAAATTAAACTTCATTTTAATTCCTTATATATTCATACTTCCACCAATTATAAACTTTGATGACCTAGTTTTGTCACATAACTCATTCCCCCAGGAAAACAAAAACAAACCTATGTCAGCTGAAGTGGACTTCACCTTCCCAGAATTCACTTTAATCCACATCAGTATTTTAAGAAGGTTGGTGGCCAAACAGTTATCCTGCTGTGTAGAGTTCTGTAAATAGCCAGACCAGGCCCTCTACCTGGAGGAGTTTTTAGTTACTCTTTATTGTGATAGAAATCCAGCTCAGCCTTACTTAAGCAGTAAAGGGCATTTGTCTGCTCTAAAAAATGGAAAGTCCACAGAAGGATAGAGCTTCGTGCTCAGATGGATTTAGAAATATAAATGAGGTCATGGGGTTGTTAATTGAAGTCCTTTCTCTCCTCTCCCCTTTCCTCTCCTTCCCTCTCTTCTCCTCCCCTCCCTTCTCCATCTCTTTTCTCCTTCTCTCTCTTTCAACCCTTTTTTCCTCTGTGTTGGCCTCGTCCTCTTCTGCTGAAGCCAGTCTTATAGCCCTTGATTCATATCTGGTCAGTCGAACACACTATGCCAATCTAGTGGCTTAAAAATAAACAAAAAACTATTTTATAATTTTTCATGATTCTGTGAGGCAGAAATTCGGACAGGACACAGAGGGGTGGTTCATCTCTTAGCCACTTAGTGACTATAGGGGCTTAAAAATTCCAGGATGATTTCTTCACTTACATGTTTGACATCTAGTTAAAATGGGAGAAACATCCGTAATGATGCTAAAATAATCATGGTGGGTTTTAGGTTTCATTGTTTTGACACAAATTTTAATAAGGAAGCTATAATAGGATGTTAAGTATTAAATTTTATTCCTATGTGTATGTATCCTTTTCAGTTATTCTAAATGACCTTGTACAAAGCACTAGTTACTTTTCTTTTTGAAACTTTAATGTATATATGAAAATAATCATGTGGCTTAATTTAGCAGTGTGGTATCCAGGACAACAGAAATTCAGTTATTAAATCATTTTTGCAATACTTGTAAGTAAGGTAAGACACTACTGTGTCTTGGTGGGTAAATGAAAAGTTTGATTTTTAAATAGAAATTAATTTTGTTTTGTTAGTAATTTAAAATGCTTATACTTGTAAGTGAAATTTGCCAAAATTTTTCTTTTTCTACTTTTATTTTGTTTGAGGATGGTATTAGGCATGGTATCTTCACAAAATTAATTAAACATACTTGCAACATTTTATCCTAGGTAAAAATGTGATATAGTCCTTTGAAACCTTGGAAAAGAATTACAATAAAACCGTCCAGACCAGTAGCCATTTTTTGATGTAACATTTTAATAATGTTTTTTCTTTTTCTATGATTGTGGGTTTAGTTTTTCTACTGCTAGATTCAATTTTTGTAATTTATATTTTTTTGCAGAATAATCATTTTATTGAGGTATAAATTTACTATCACAGATTTTGTGCTGTAAAATCTGTGATTTTACAAAAATGTTGTAAAGTCTTTCTACCTGTCTTTATGTATTGAACTTTTAGCCAGCTTTGTACCCCAGGAGGATGTAAACAAAAAATAAAACTCTAAGCCCCCTGACCATCTGAATGGACCCTTTCTCTTGGCAAAGGCATTCCAAGGCTAACCTGAGGGACTGGTTTAGTCCATCATGTGGGGTAGGGGGTGGACATGCCTCATTATACCCTCCTCCCTTTTGGAATTACTGATGAAACAGACTCTAAATCTGGTGAGAACCATTTGCAATCAATTCTCTGAAGTCTGCTACCTGGAGGCTTCATCTGCATGATCAAACTTTGGTCTCCACAACCCCTTATCATCATAACGCAAACATTCCTTTCTATTAATTCCAGATCTTTAAATAATAACTTAATTCTTTCAACCAGTTGCCAATCAGAAAAATTTTAAATCTACCTATAACCTGGAAGCCCCACCCGCACCCCACCCCTATTTCAAGTTGTCTGCCTTTCCAGAGTGAATCTTATAATAAATCTGCAACCAATGTGGGCACATGTTCTCATGGTCTCCAAGGGCTGCGACACAGGCCATTGTCATTCATATTTGGCTCAGAATAAATCTCTTCAAATATTTTATGGAGTTTCACTCTTCATTGACAAGGGTGACCTATGTGGACTACGTCATTGACACTACCCTGTGTCTTCCTGTTGGGTTCAGTTAATGGGGATGCCCATCAGGATGTTGGAGGACAGAGAGAGGCTGGGTGCTTATTACCGTTGCTCCTTTGCTTCAGTTTAATTCAAGGCGTCACTGAGTGTTTCCTTTTACTCAACATCCTCCTTGAGTATTGCACCAGACTTTGTGATTTCCCTATACCTTGCACATGCCTTTTACTAAACCCTTCTTGAATTATCTTAATTTGTATGTGCTGTTACCTGCTGATATAGAATTGAAGATAAAGTCTTTTGATGTTTTATATCCCTTTTTGTCTTTATGGTGGTTAATCTTATGTATCAACTTGAATGAGACATGGAATGCCCAGGTATTTGGTCAAATGTTACTCAGGGCATGTCTGTGAGAGTGATCCAGGGTGAGATTAACACTTGAATCAGAAGACTGTGTAAAGCAGATTTTCTCTAATGTGGGTGGGCTTATTCAATCAATTGAAGACCTACATAGAATAAAAAGTCCGAGTTAGAGGGAACTCCTCCTTCCTGATTGCTTGAGCTGGGGCTCCATTTCTTTTCTTTCCTTTTGTTTCTTTTTTTGTGCCTTCAGACTTGAACTAAAAAATTGGCTCTTCTTTGGTCTTAACTTTGCCAGCTTTTGGTCTGGAACTCTACCATCAGCTCTCCTGGGTCTTCAGCTTGCTTACTATAGATCTTGGAACTTCTCAGTCTCCATAATCACATGAGATTATTTCTTATAATAAATCTCTTTGATGTAACAGCTACCTGAACATGTGGAAGCAGCTTTGGAAGTGGGTAGAGTCTGGAATATTTTTGAGGTGTGTGCTAGATATATAGATGTTAAGTGAGATTCAGTGAGACTCAGAAATATGAAATATAGCTGGAGGAAAGGTGATTCTTGTTATGAAGTGGCAAGACCACCTTTGCAAAGATTATGACAGTGAGAGAAGTCTAGCATGGCTGACTCCATCTTGTTTCTAGCCTCACAGGCTGGTTGTCTTCTCCCATTCCTGGGGGTGGGCCAAGTTAACTATGGGAGGAATTTCGTTTATAGTTTACCTTTGAAACAAAAATGATAATTGTTTCTCCCTATAACTTGCCCTCTCCTTCTTTGGAGAGTCTAATAAAAGTAATATTAGTAATATTAGACTACTAATATTAGTAATATTAAACTTTTGTAAGTCTAATAAAAGGCCACAAGATTAGAATTATGGAAGGGGCCTTAATTCTGCTAAAATGTAGGTGTAGCTTGCCTTTCTATAATCATTTACTGCAATGAAAGTCACAAGATTTGTAACTTTCCCAATTGCTCCTATAGATAACATTACTATTGTAGAACCTAAGATTAGTCTTTTGAGATCTGTTTTTCAGACTTTTGCATTCTGGTGACTGGCTGACTTTACCTGGAACTGTGACTCATAAGTCAACTGAGAGACTAACTAAGTGCATGAGGACTGTTTTCCACACCTCTATGATTTCATTTCCAACCAATCAATGGCATCCCTTCCCTAGCCCCCTGCCTGTCATATTATCTGTAAAATCAGTAGCCTCTGAGTTCTTGGGAAAGCTGATTTGAATAATAAACTCCTGTCTTCTGCTTGGCTATCCCTGCATTAATTAAACTCTTTCTCTACTGTAATACCACTATCTTAGTGAATTGGTGTGATGGTTAATACTGAGTATCAACTTGATTGGATTGAGGGATACAAAGTATTAATCCTGGGTGTGTCTACGTGGGTGTTGCCAAAAGAGATTAAAATTTGAATCAGTGGGCTAAGGAAGGTAGATCCACCCTTAATCTGGTGGGCACAATCTAATCTGCTTCCAGCAAATATATAGCAGGCAGAAAAATGTGAAGAAGCGAGATGGACTTAGCCTCCCAGCCTACATCTTTCTCCTGTGCTGGATGTTTCCTGCCCTCGAACATCGGACTCTAAGTTCTTCAGTTTTGGGACTCGAACTGGCTCTCTTTGCTCCTCAGCTTGCAGACAGCCTATTGTGGGACCTTGTAATCATGTAAGTTAATGCTTAATAAACTCACCTTTATGCATATACATATATACATCCTATTAGTTCTGTCCCTCTAAGAGAACCCTGACTAATACAGTTGGTCTTAACTGTGCAGAGAGCAAGAACCCATCAGGCAATTACAACTGTAAAGTAATTGGCTTAACTCTGTTCTAGTGTTTATGGAAGGTAGAACTTGCAAGTATTAGAAATGGATATTTAGTTGAGAAGATTTCTAAGCCTAGTGATGAAGAAGTGACTTTGTTCCTCCTTACTGCTTATAGTAAAGTGAGAAAAGAAAAGGAAGAATTACAAAAGAAATTGTTAAGAAAAAGGAACCACAACTTGAAGATTTAGAAAATTCTCAGTCTATCTATATTGTAACAAATGAGAAAGCACGTTCTGAAGGCAACACAATGGTGTTGCTAGACTATTACTTGATAAAAGAGTTTATGTGATTATATGAGCAGAAACACTGCCAGTATGAACTGAAGAAGAAAAGAGACAAAATGAGGAAAGGCTGTCAGACTTCTTGGATTTGATAGGATGGCATGATAGAGCTATTTGTCTGTGAATGTGTACTATAAGAAGAGGAAAAAATGACCTCAAAGTTGATTCATCGATCATCAGACCCACTGTTTCAATTTCAAAGTCCTCCACCTGAAATCTTGAAGGCAGGACTGCCCTACAGAGCCTTAGGTAGGTGTAAGGCTGCCCAGAGGCTTGGCAGGAGGACCTGGCCTGGCAGAGCCGTGAGGGCAGGATCCCCAACCCACAGCTGTGGGATGATGCTTTTGCCCTAGGGTGCCTGGAGAGCAGAGTACTAAACCAAAGAGGGTTACTTTTGAGTCTTGAGATTTTTTTTTTTTTCTTTTTTAGACAAATCTCACTCTGTCACCCAGGCTGGAGTGCAGTAGTGTGGCCTCAGCTCACTGCAACCTCCACCTCCCAGGATCAAGCGATTCTCCTGCCTCAGCCTCCCAAGTAGCTGGGAATACAGGCGTGCACTACCACACCCTGCTAAATTTTTAATTTTTAGTAGAGATGGGGTTTTGCCATATTGGCCAGGCTGCTCTGGAACTCCTGACATCAGGTCAGATCCACCCTCCTCGGCCTCCCAAAGTGCTGGGATTATAGGCATGAGCCACCGCACCCGGCCTTGAGTCTTAAGAGTTAATGAAATTTGCCTTACTAGGTTTTGGACTTGCTTGAGACCCTTCACTCCTTACTTCCTCCTGGTTTCTGCCTTTTGAAATGGGAATGTATATTGTGAGCCTATCCCACCATTGCATTTTGGAAGCACATAACTCGTGTGGTTTCACAGGTTCATAACTGGAACGGAATTTTGCCTCATGATGAATTTCACCTAGAGTCACTCATATCTGATATAGATGATATTTAGCTTAGACTCCAGACTTTAGACTTGATGCTAGAATTATTTAAGATTTTTGGAGCTATTGGGTTAGAATGAATGTACTTTGCATGTGAGAAGGCCATTAATTTGGGGGAGCAGGGGTGGAATGCTCTAGGCTGAATTGTATCCCTCCAAAATTCTTACGTTGAAGCCCCAACCTGATGTGACTGTATTTAAAAATAGGGCTTTTAAAACAAACATATAAAAAAGCTCAATATCACTGATCATTAGAGAAATGCAAATCAAAACCACAATGAGATGCTATCTCACACCAGTCAGAATGTCAGTTATTAAAAAGCCAATAAACATCAGATGCTGGCAAGGTTGTGGAGAAACAGGAATGCTTTTACACTCTTGGTGGGAATGTAAATTGGTTTAACCTTTGTGGAAGACAATGTGGCAATTCCTCAAAGATTTAGAACCAGAAATACCATTTGATCCAGGAATTCCATTACTGGGTATATACCCAAAGGAATACAAATCATTCTATTATAAAGATACATGTACGCATATGTTCATTGCAGCACTATTTACAATAGCAAAGACATGGAATCAACCCAGATGCCCATCAATGACAGAATGGGTAAAGAAAATGTGGTATGGATACACCATGGAATACTCTGCAGCCATAAAAAGGAATGAGATCATGTCCTTTGCAGGGACAAGGATGGAGCTGGAAGCCGTTATTGTCAGCAAACCGATGTAGGAATAGAAAACCAAACACCACACGTTCTCACTCATAAGTTGGGAGTTGAACGATGAGAACCCACGGACACAGGGAGGGGAGAAATACACACTGGGGTCTGTTGGGGGTGGCTGGGATGCTGATGGATAGAGAAAATCAGGGAAAATAGCTAATGCATGCTGGGCTTAATACCTAGGTGATGGGTTGACAGGTGCAGCAAACTACCATGGCACACGTTTACCTATGTAACAAACCTGCACATCCTGCATGTGCACCCTGGAACTTAAAATTAAAAAATAAATAAAAAAAAAATTAGGGCTTTTAAAAGGTAATTTAGGCTAAATGAGGAAATAAGGGTGGAATCCTATACCAATGGGATTGGTGGCCTTATGAGAAGAAGAGAGAGAGATCTCTTTGTCTCCATAGACACATATCTAGCAACGGTGATGTGAGCACATGACACAAAGGCACCTGTCTGCAAGCTAGAAAGAGAGTGCTCACCAGAACTCGACCTTGTTTCCACTCCCGTCCCTCCCCTTCCCCTCCCCTTACTTCTCCTCCACTTCCTTCTCCTCCCCCTCCCATCCCTTCCCCGCTCTCCTTCCCTCCCCTCCCCTTTCCTGGTTGTTGAATAATGCTTTGAATTGAACATCTTGTTTATTTTCTCCCTCCTTCTGGCACTCATATTTGGCAAAGATAAAAAATGTTAATGGGATACTACTCTCATTTGCTTACAACTTGGGCTGCAACTTATAAATTTTAATAATTTGTAATATTTGTGTTGATACAGTCATTGTTTAGGAGAAGAGATCCTTCTGAATCCCTCTGTCTTTGTCTGACTTCTGTTTTTGTCATCAAATCTTCTTGTCTGTCCTGCCTCCTTCCTTCACTTCTATGGATTTTTGTGATTACATTGGGCCCTACACGGATAATTTGAGATAATATCCCTGTCTCAACATCCTTAATCACATCTGCAAAGTCACTTTTAACATGTAAAAACATATTCATAGACTTCAGGGATTAGGATATGGATATCTTTGGGAGGCTACTATTCTGCTTACAATACCAGTTGTTTCAGAACTCTTTTTTGTAAACCTTTCATGAATGAGATTGTATAACTACATTGCTACAGTCATTAGCTTTTCATCATATGTGAAATGTAAATATGCTGATCTGACATTATCATCTATTTCTCAAATCTCAGAAAAGTATTCAGTAAACTGAATTTTAGAATCACTGTGACTACCTAATAGCTTTGGCATTTGGATGACTCAGTTATGTTTCAATACTGGAGTCTTTAGGTTTTGGTATATTAGTTTGGAATTTTTCATGTTTGAAACTGTGCCAAAAAGAAATATGTTTCTAATAAAAATGATTACTAATTTGCTAATGAAAAAGGAAAATTATAAACTAACTGTAGATTTTAGCAAAGGTAGAAGTATTAATTAATTAATTAACCCTGTCCCCCATCTCCCAAAGAATAATAATATAAATGTCTTTGTTTCAATGACTTAAGTGGGCCTGACTGTTTTTGGAGCTGGTAAGGAAATATATGACCCAGTGTTAGTTAAAGTTACAGATCAGCCACATTTTATATGTATTGTTTTTCTAATTTTGACCCCAAGAATAACTAATATATGAACAATGTATATAATTGGTACACTTTATTTATTTTTAAAGGTATACATTGGCCTCAAAGGGCTGTTGGCTGAAAGTGCTTAATATTGATCTTTATTTTCTTCATAGTTTGTCAAAACAGAAGTTTCTGGTCATCCTCTTTTAAAACATTTTTGTATTCGCTCATTGACAGGGAAAATATTTATGTATCCTAGCACTGAATACCTTACTAGCTGAACGTCTGGCACCGTTAAAAAAAAATGGGTTCTGAAGGCTCTGTTTTTATCACACAAAGGCTCTGTTTTTATCTCAGATAGGTCTGGCCAAAACAAAAGCCGCGTAAGTGTCCTGTGAGTATTCAATCATTTTTTGAAAACTAGATTCACCACTGCAAATCTTCTAAAGGTCAAAGGCATGAAAAGATATGGAGGTAAAACCAAACCAAAACAAAAAACTTAAGTTACGTACTGATCTTCATGGCCTTCCAGTTTAGCTACACAGAGATTAGAATCAAAATGTGACCTAAAAGGAGGGGTCCAAAATAAAGCACAACTTCTTATTTTTAATAGAGTGTCATTAGGAGAATACTGTAGATTTTAATGGCAAGGATTTTACATGACTTCAAATGGCCACATTGGAGGGGTCTAAGTCAATAATTATTTTTAGTGTTAAATATTAAATGTGGAAAAGTAAGCACTATGCTAAGCCAAAAAATAAAGATCTATGGAGGCTGTAGGATGCGGACACCTTTTCTAGAAGGTAGAGTAGTGCATGAGGTTGATACTATCAACTTCAAAAGTATGAACCTTTGGCATGATTTACACTGAGTTGAAATAAAAGTGAAAAATAGGCAGAAGATATAGAGGAAGAGATATAGGAAAACTCAGAAGAGGGGGATGATCTTGAGCCACTTAGAAGCCTCTTAATTTATATAATTTTTTAAAAGTTTGATGTTAGTTACTGATCCTGCTTATTTTGGAAATAGTATATTGTTAGGTGAGGATGAATATACTCTTTTTAAAAAGCCTAAAGCTATTTCAGTGTTGCAAATTGGAAGGATTTCAGTGATAAAATTTTAAGTATGGACAGAGAAATATTTATAACATGTGGAGATTAAAATGGATAAACACATAACAAACATTAGCATATGAATACTCAGTTTGATAAACCGAGGGTTAACAGAAATCTTTAAAGGCCTGATTCCTCCCTCACCAATCTGGTCCTCCTTTTTCCACTCATAAGCAACTATGGTCTCAGTCGTCATTATAGAATCCTTTTGCTCATCTTTATAATTTTACTCAATGTTTAGTTTTGCATGCTTTGTTTTTTAAAAACTTTAGAACATTTAATAGACAAAGGTTGTATGTATTCAAGATGTGCAACCTGATGATCTGATATATGTATACATTGTGTAATGATTATCACAATCAAATTAATGAACAAATCTGTAGCTACCCATCCTTTACATACGATCCCCATAATTTATTCATCTTATAACTGAAAGTTTGCACCCATTGATCAACATCTCTCCATTTCCCACACCTCCCAGTCCCTGGCAACTACTGGTCTACTGTTTCTATGAGTTTATCTTAATGCCACATACAAGTGTATATTCTCCTGAAGATTGCTTTTTTAAAATAATTAATATATTTCTAAGGCTCATGTATGTGTGTTTCTATAGGCTGTGCAATGGCATAGTAGAGTATTCCAGTCTATGAATAGCCAGCCATTTATTAAGCCAAGATTCTGTTCATGGATATTTGGGTTGTTTCCATTATTTTTTCTTATATTATAAAACAACATTGCTTTGAATATTTTTGGATGTGCCTTCTGGTATGCAGAGGAAAGAGTTTTCTTTTGTGTACCTGAGAAGGAGTGAAATTTCTGTTAACGCTTTTCAATTATCTGAATATGCCAAATTGTTTTCTATAGTGGTTTTCCTGCCACTAGCAGTCTACAAAGATTCTTAATTCATATCCTTATGAGCATGGTATTATCAAGTAATTTAGTTTTTATTCATTAAGTGGATATGGAATATTATCTCTTTGGAGACTTGAATGTGTATTTTCCTGATTACTAATGAGATGTAATATTTTTTGTATGCTTATTGTTCATTTGTTTTTTATGTGTTGGATCTTTTCATATTTTTCTATTTACTTTCTATTTTGGTTCTTATCTTTTTCTTATTAATCTATAGAAGTGCTTTATATGCTTTTTTTTTTTAACTTGATAGTGCTTCCTCTATGATTTTTATATACCAAATAAGTCAAATATGTCTTTTTTGGACTTCAGGGGACCTTTTTTATTTCAATAGGTTTTGGGGTACAGGTGGTTTTTGGTTACATGGATGAGTTCTTTAGTGGTAATTTCTGGGATTTTGATGTACCCATTGCCTGAGCAGGGTACACTGTACCCAGTATGTAGTCTTTTATCCCTCACCTTCCTCCTACCCTTCCCACCACCAAATCCCCAGAGTTCATTTTATCATTCTTAGGCCTTTGCATCGTCATAGCTTAGCTCCCACTTACAAGTGAGAACATACAATATTTGGTTTTCCATTCCTTAGTTACTCCACTTAGAATAATGGCCTCCTGCTCCATCCAAGTTGCTGCAAATGACATTATTTCATTCCTTTTTATGGCTGAGTAGTATTCCATGGTGTATATATACCACATTTTCTTTATCCTCTTGTTGGTTGATGGGTACTTAGGTTGGTCTCATATTTTTGCAATTGCAAATTGTGCTGCTATAAATATGCATGTGCAAATGTGTTTTTCATATAATGACTTTTCCTCTGGGTAGATACCCAGTAGTGGGATTGCTGGATCAGATGGTAGTTCTACATTTAGTTCTTTAAGGAATCTCCATACTATTTTCCATAGTGGTTGGACTAGTTTCCATTTCCACCAGTAGTGCAAAAGTGTTCCCTTTTCACCACATCCAAGCCAACATCTACTTTTTGACTTTTATATCAAAAATTATGGCTAGTCTTGCAGGATTAAGGTGGTATCTCATTGCGGTTTTATTTGCATTTCCCCGATAATTAGTAATGTTGGGCATTCTTTCGTATGTTTGTTGGCTGTTTGTATATCCTCTTTTCAGAATTGTCTATTCACATCCTTTGCACACTTTTTGATGGGATTATTTGTTCTTCTCTTGCCGATTTGTTTGAGTTCCTTGTAGATTCTGGATATTAATCCTTTATGAGATGCATAGATTTTGAATATTTTCTCTCACAATACTAAACATTTGTCAGTTATATATGTGTATATATATATACACACACACCATATATACCATAAAGTACAATGTGTATGTATATTTTACATTTTAGTTTATGGTATATATTGATAAACTAAAATTCTTAATTTTGAGTAGTCAAGTTTATTAATTTTTTCCTTGTTATGTTTCTTGTATCTTTATTCTCAAGCCTCTCAGATATGTTCTGTGATAGTTTCATGTGTCAACTTTGCTACTCTCTAGAACCTGGTGACTTAATCAAATGGTAATCTAGGTGTAGCTGTGAAGGTATTTTGTAGATATGGTTAGCATCTACAAACAGTTGACTTCAAGTAAAGGAAGTCACCCTTGACATTGTGGGTGGGTGTTACTGATTTTTTTTTTTTTTTTGAGAACCCTGGATGATACATGTGCTTAGATTATAAGAAATGTTTATAGTTTAAGCCCTCACATTTAGATCTTTTAGCAACCTGGTTTTGATTTTTGTTGCATAATCAGGCAGAGATAATATTCCCAGTATTATTTATTCCACTTTAACCTCTCCTTCACTCACTAACATATATCAACTGTGTCTTAAACCAAGTTTCCATGTATATATGAGTGTGCAACTGGATTCTCCATTCTGTGCCATTGCTCTTGTCATCTTTTCCTGAAATATTACCGAACTATTTGAGTTAATATAGCTTTAGGAAAAAAACCTTGGTATATAGTATGACAATAAAAATTGTAAATTGCCAAAAAATTATGTTATTGAGATATTGTTCACATTAAATGATATACATCAATTTAGGGAACACTGATAATAACATACTGCAACATTTTATTAATAAATATTTACAGTCTCACCATTTACTTAGGAATTTAGAAGTATGTATCTGTGGTGTTTTAAATTTTTCCTTAATTATCTTACATGTTTTCTGTGATCTTTTATTATTTCTGCCTGCTACTATAAATAGTATCTTTTTGTAAGTCACATATTCTATCCATTGTGTCAGTATACACTTAAATTTGTATTTAAATATTTTATATCTGGCAAACTCACTAAACTCTGTTATTATTCTTTTGGTTTTATGTATATTTAGTTATAACTGTGAATAAAACCATATTTCTAGTCATTCTACTTTTTATTTTCTATATTTCTTACTATGTTGAATCAGAGGACAATTGAATACAGCTGATCATTTTCCTAATTAAAAGAGAATAACATATCACTATTAAAAATTATGTATCTTGTAGGTTTTATTAAGCTATTCATTCTTAGACTAAGGAATTTTTTGTATTTAAAAGTTGATAAAAATTTTGCATACTTTATTAAATTTTTAACTGATGCATAATGACCATACATGTTTATATGGTACATATTTATAGGATAGAATGAAGTTTCAATATATGTATACATTATATAATAATCAAATCAGGGTAATTAGCAAATTCATCACATCAAACAGTAATCATTTCATTGAGAATATTCAAAATTCTTTCTTCTAGCTATTTTAAAATATATAATACATTATTGTTAACTATAGTCACCCTAGTGTGCAATAGAAGACCAGAACTTATTCCTCCTATCTAACTATAACTTTGTACCCATTGACCAACCTTCTGTCTTCATTCCCTCCCCACTACCCCAGCCTTCGGTAATCACTATTCTATTCACTATTTCTATGAGATCAATTTTTAGATTCCACATATGAGTGAAACCATGCAGTATTTGTCATTCTGTATTTGGCTTATTTCACTAAACATAATGTCCTCCAGGTTCATCTATATTGTCCCAAATGACAGAATTTCCTTCCTTTTAAAGGTTGTATAATATTCCATTGTGTAGACATACCACATTTCCTTTATCCATTGATTTGATGAAACACACCTAGGATGTTTTCATATCTCAGCTATTGTGAATACTGCTACAATAACTATGAGAGTGCATTTATCCCTTCAACATACTAATTTCCTTTTCTTTGGACATATACCCAGTAGTGGGATTGCTGGATCATATGGTAGGTCTATTTTTAATATTTTGAGAAACCTCCATACTGTTTTAACTGGTGTGAGGTGATATCTCATTGTGTGTATGTTTTTTTGGTTTGTTTGTTTTGAGATGGAGTTTCACTCTTGTTGCTCAGGCTGGAGTGCAATGGCACAATCTCAGCTCACTGCAACCTCTGTCTCCCTGGTTTGAGTGATTCTCCTGCCTCAGTCTCCCAAGTAGCTGGGATTATAGGCATGCACCACTACGCCTAGCTAATTTTGTATTTTTAGTAGAGATGGGGTTTCACTGTGTTGGTCAGGCTGTTCTTGAACTCTTGACCTCATGTGATCCGCCTGCCTCAGCCTCCCAAAGTGAGGATTATAGGCATGAGCCATTGCGCCTGGCCTCATTGTGATTTTGATTTGCATTCTCCTGATGATTTGTGATTTTTTCATATACCTGTTGACATTTTTATGTATTTTATTGAGAAATTTCTGTACAAGTCTTTTGTTCTACTTTCACAAATTATTATTATTATTATTATTACTATTGAGCTATTTGAGTTCTTTGTATAATCTGGATATTAGCCACCTGTCAGATGTATAGTTTGTGAATGTTTTCTCCCGATCGATCTGTAAGTTGCCTCTTCATTCTGTTATTTCCTTAGCTACGCAGAGCATTTTAGTTTGATGCAATCTCATTGTCTATTTCTGCTTTAGTTATCTGTGCTTTTGAGGTCTTATCCTGAAAATCCTTGTCCAGACCAATGTCATGAAGCATTTCCCTCTAGTAATTTCATGATTTCAAGTCTCACATTTAAGTCTTTAATTCATTTGAGTTAATTTTTATATTGTGAGAGTCAGGAGTCTAGTTTTATTCTTCCGCATGTGGGTGTTCAGTTTTCTCAGCATCATGTATTGAAGAGACTATCCTTTCCCCAGTGTTTGTTCTTGACAACTTTGTCAAAAATCAGTTAGGCGTAGATGCATGGATTTATTTCTGAGATTTTTGTTCTGTTCCATTTGTCTACATGTCTGTTTTTATGACTCTACCAAACTATTTAGGTTACTTTAGCTCTGTAGTATGTTTTGAAGTCAGGCAGTGTGATCCTCCAGCTTTGTTCTTTTTGCTCAAGATTGCTTTGGCTATTCAAGGTCTTTTAAGATTTCATACAAACTTCAGGATTTTTTCTATTTCTATTAAGAATGTAATTGGTATTTTTATAAGGATTACATTGAATCTGTAGATTGCTGTGTGTAGTATGAGCATTTAGCAATAGTAATTCTTCCAGTCCCTGAACATGGGATATCTTTCCATTGATTTGAGTCCTCTTCAATTTCTTTCATAATTGTTTCATAGTTTCAGTATAAAGATTCTTCACTTCCTTGGTTTAATGTGTTCCTAAGTATCTTACCTTTTTTAGCTGTTGTAAATGAGATGCTTTTTTGTTTCCTTTCTCAGATAGTTAGCTATTAGTGTATAGAAACACTACTAATTTTGTATGTTGATTTTGTATCCTGCAACTTTACTGAATACATTTATTAGTTCTTATAGTTTTTGGTGGAGTCTTTAGGGTTTTCTTTATAAAAAATCATGTCATCTGCAAACAGGGATTTTGATGTCCTTATTTCCTATTAGGATAGCTTTTTTTGTTTGTTTGTTTTGTCTCGAGATGGAGTTTCGCTCTTGTTGCCCAGGCTGGAGTGCAATGGCACAATCTTGGCTCACCACAAGCTCCCCTTCCTGGGTTCAAGCGATTCTCCTGACTCAGCCTCCAGAGTAGATGGGATTACAGGCATGCACCACCACGCCTGGATAATTTTGTATTTTTAGTAGAAACAGGGTTACTCCATGTTGGTCAGGCTGGTGTCAAACTCCCGACCTCAGGTGATCCACCCACCTCGACCTCTCAGAGTGCTGGGATTATAGGCGTGCAATTGCCCTTGCTAGGACTTTCAGTGCTATGTTGAATAGGAGTGGTAAAAGTGGCCATTCTTGTCATGTTCTAGATCTTAGAGGAAAAGCTTTCAACTTTTCCCCATTCTGTGTGATGTTAGCTATGGGTTTGTCCTTTATGGCTTTTATTGTGTTGAGGTACATACCTTCTGTGTCTAATTTGTGTAGAGCTTTTATGATGAAGAGATGTTGAATTTCATCAAATGCTTTTTCTGTGTCTATCAAGATTGCTTATATGGTTTTGTCCTTTATTCTGTTAATGTGATTGATCATGTTTATTGATTTGCATATGTTGAACCATCCTTTCATCCCTGGGATCATGGTGAATGATCCTTTTTAATGTGTTGTTGAATTTGATTTGTCAGTTTTTTATTTAGAATTCTTGTATTTATGTTCATCAGGAATATTAACCTGTAGTTTCCTTTTTTTGTTAGTGCCTTTTTTTGGTGGTTTCGGTATCTAGGTAATGCTGGACTTGTAGACTGAGTTTGGAAGAATCC
This sequence comes from Homo sapiens, assembly GCF_000001405.40. Taxonomy (NCBI): domain Eukaryota; kingdom Metazoa; phylum Chordata; class Mammalia; order Primates; family Hominidae; genus Homo; species Homo sapiens. The sequence goes on along the minus strand of NC_000002.12, from coordinate 53,079,430 downwards.
CCTCCTCTTCAATTTTTGGAATAATCTGAGAATAATTGATTATTAGTTCTTTTTTTTTTTTTTTTGATGGAGTTTCGCTTTGTCACCATGCTGGAGTGCAGTGGCGCAATCTTGGCTCACTGCAACCTCCGCCTCCAGGGTTCAAGCAATTCTCCTGCCTTAGCCTCCCGAGTAGCTGGGACCACAGGCAAGTGCCACCATGCCCAGCTAATTTTTGTATTTTTAGTAGAGACAGGATTTCACCATGTTGACCAGGATGGTCTCAATCTCTTGACCTCATGGTCTGCCCACCTTGGCCTCCCAAAGTTCTGGGATTACAGGTATGAGCCACCACGCCTGGTCGATATTAGTTCTTTATGTGTTTGGTAGAATTCAGTAGTGAAGCCATCAGGTCCTGGGCTTTCTTTGATGGGAAAATTTTTATTACTGCTTTAACCTCGTTATTCATTATTGGTCTGTTCAGATTTTCTATTTCTTCATTAATCAGCCTGGTTAGGCTGTGTGTATCCAGGAATTTATCCATTTCTTCTAAGTTTCACAATTTGTTGGCATATAGTTTTTCATAATATTCTTTTAGGATCCTTTGTCTATCATATCAGTTATAATGTTTCATTTTTCATCTTTGATTTTTCTTATTGAGTCTTCTGTCTTTTCTTGGTAAAGGTTTTTTGGTTTTAATCATTTCACAAAATAAACTTTTTGTTTATCTTTTGTAATTTTTTAGTCTCCATTTGCTTATTTCTGTACTGTTTTTCTTTTTTTTTTCTAGTAATTTTGGGTTAGGCTTTTCTTTTTTCTAGTTCCTTGAGGTGCAACATATCTTATCTACTTTATATCTTTTTTTATTCTTTTCTGATGTGGGCATTTATTGCTATAAACTTCCATCTTGGTTCTTCTTTTGTTGTATTCCAGGGGCTTGGTATGTTGTGTGGAATGAATTTGGAAGCCTTCCCTCCTCTTCAATTTTTAGAATAATTTGAGAAGAATTGATATTAATTCTTCTTGACGTATTTGGTAGAATTCAGCATTTCTGTTTGCCTCCAGAAATTTTTAAGTTTATTTTAAAATTTCTTCATTGACCTATTTGTTGTTCAGGAACATGCTGCTTAATTTTTATGTGTTTGTATAGTTTCCAAAGTTCCTCCTCATTTCTTGTTTTATACCATTGCCATTGGACATAATACTTGATCTTGTTTTTATTTTTAAAAATTTATTTAAACTTGTTTTGTGGGTTACTATATGGTGTATTCTGGAGAATGTTCCATGTGCATAAGAGAAGAATGTATATTCTGCTGCTATTGAATGGAAAGTGCTGTATACGCCTGTTAGGTCCATTTTGTCTAAAGTAAAGTTCAATTGCAGTATTTCCTTGTTAATTTTCTGTGGTTGATCTGTCCATTGCTGAAAATGGGTAATTGAAGTTACCTACTATTATTATATTGCTATCTATTTCTCATGTTCATTAATATTTGCTTTTTATATTTAGGAGCTTGTCAGGGGTTGGGGGACGGCTGTGATTGCTCTCAGTGGCAAAGGTACTATTTTCCCAGGAGGCAGGGCACTGCTTCAGCTCAGGCACAGTGGGAGCAAGGTGGAGCAGCAACTGGGAGGGGTAGATGGAGCACCTCCATGGCTGCTTGGCCTTGTGAGCTAGGGTGTAGCAGCAGCTCAACTGGAGGATGGCAGGGTACCTGGCAGGGGTACTTTAGCAGTGGCTAAGTCTCAGGGATGGAAGGATGTCATAGCTACTCACCTCCAGAGCAGAACATACTCTAGCAGTAGTTTCAGTTCCAAGAAGGCATAGTACAGTAGCTGATGTGCCACAGGGGGTGGGACATAGTCACAGCTCCTTCTCTGGGGGAAGCACAGCTGTGTGGACTCTAGTCAGCTTTCTCAGCTAGGCATAGTGCCTTTGAGGACTGCAGGAATCCTCCATGGTGAGGACTGTAGGTGTCCAAGGGGTTGATGGAAGCTGCTGGGGTCCTCTTACTTGCCTTTTCTTCACAGAAGTCCCTTCTGGCTCTGAGCTAGGGATTGGGGTGGTGGTGACCCAGCATTTTCTTGCATGCCCATATGTGTCCATCCTGGGTTTTCGTGCTCTATAGGGTTTGTTCTACTCCTTTGATGTACTTCAACACTCTCCTTTAGTTATTTTCATCAAACCTTAGTTGTTTATTATTTTGGCTGTTTTTATTGGGAAGGGGGGCAGTAAGTGCTCAGGGGTTCTAGTCAACCATCTTGCTAATATCATTCCCCTGGGGATAAATTTTGAAGTTTGGTTACTGCCTTTTCTGCACCTATTGAGATATTCATTTGATTTTTCTCTTATTTTTAGCAGATTTAAAATTACCTTAATTACTATTCCTAGGCAAGACTAATTTGGCCATCATGTATTATAGCTTTATATAGCACTAGATTTAGTTTTCCGTTAATCTGCATAAGATTTCTATATCTATATTTATGAGTGAGATTGACATGTAGTTTCCTAATTTTGTAATTTAATATCTTGATGTTAATATTGAAGTTATGGTATAGGAAAGCAGACCTGTGCTGCTGAAACCCTGCACATTTACAAGAAAGACATGTCTTCAGGACTAGCTCTTTGCCTATACCTGGGAGATGAACAATGAGCCCTTGAAATATTCTGCCTGATAAGAGTGTTTTGTACATCTCAGGCTTTGGGCCACTTGGTACCAGTTTGATTAAAGTTTATGATAACAATATGATTTATCATGAATACCTGTTTTTGATCTAGGGGTTGCTGGAGTCTGTGTACCTAAGTTAAGTCATGCAAGTGCTACATGACTGCCTGAGAGACCCTAATAGAAACCCTGGATGCCAAGGCATGTTTGGGCTTTCCTGATTGGCAAAACTTGGCATTCATTTTTATGCACTGCTGCCAGGAGAATTAGGTACATCCAAGATATTCTCGAAGTGGACATCTGGAAGCTTGCACCTGCTTTGTCCTAGAATTCACCCCATGTTCCTTTTCCTTTTGATGATATTAGTCTGTATCCCTTTGTTGTAATAAACTGTAAACAAAAGTATAACAACTTTTCTGAGTCTTTCTAGCTAATAATTAAGGATGAGGATGGTCTTGGAGAGATCCCTAACAATGTTGGTTTCAGAACTGGAATTCATTGGAATAAAACTCACTCACTGAAACATGTGAAAGCACATGGGAGGATGAAGGGATAGGGAATGACAAACATTTGATGCCTGGATGACTACGAAGTCACCCATTGGACAGCAGCTGTACTGTGATCAGTTAGTGTTGGTAAAAGTTACCAATGGAATTTAGAAACGATAAATCTATCTACTGAGGAGGTGGCTCACTGGATACATAAAAAAATGCAAAATAATGAAAACAAGCTAAATATGCAATCTCTTGGTTATTTTTATTCATAGTAGCTAAAATGAAAGCAAAGGAGAGTGTGCAGATGGGCCCTGGCATTGTGCCAAGCTGAGATTTTGGCCTGCATGAGCTATGATCATTAGTTTCAGAGTTGTCACTAGTGGGAAAATTTATGTTATTAAAAATAGATAATACCTTTATGACCTGTGGTTACCAAGAAACTACTGAAACCATGGTGCATGTTATAAAAGAGCTCTCTCATTTTGTGGATTAATAAAATAACTTTATGAAGAACCTTTATTAAAGTGAATTATGGGGATGACTAACTTTGAAGCAGTCTCCTTGGTTTTGAATGCTGCAAAATGATGGAGCATGTTTGATTGATGAAGGACACACAGCTTACTATTAAACAATCAAGTATGGCTGTACATTATGCAAACACACAATAGGATTTTTTCCTGAAGGGACAGCTAGCCTAGTGGATGAGATATAAGACATCATAGTTAGTTTATTCCGAGAAGGGGAATTGCTCTTTCCTTCCTTTAGATGACAAATAGATAACCCTAGGTGTAGTGTCTGATATGTTACATATGCAAGGAGTGCTGGATTGGTTTTATTATGACTGAGATGTTCATCCTCTTAATATTCCTCTGAAGCAATTTATGGTAAATGCTGTGATTAAGAACACCCCTTTACATGAGTACTCTATGTGGACTGCTGCAAAATTAAACAAAGGTTCAAGAAGCCATATCCTCTTATGGGACATAAAGATGTTCCAGAAATTAGAATAATTCACAAGAGAATGGGAAAAGTAAAAAGGAATAGTTGAGGGATTTGTCTCAGCAGGATAGAAGTCTTGAAATAGTTATAAAGAACGTGATGAATAAAATGGACATTGATGTTACATTAATGAATAAAGGTCTTTGGAGATTTGGTGGACAGATAAAAGTCAGTCCTGGTATCCCGACATTGAAGGACCCTAAATAAATCTCTATTTACTCTAGTTTGGAGTAATGTAAAAAGCCAGAAGGCAAAAATAATAATAATAAATCTGACCTTAAATTACCAGGAGTGATGGTCTGGCAAATTAATAATGGTAAGGATCTTTTGGTTTAACCCCTGGTTGGGACGCAAGACCGAATACATATGTGTGGATAAATTGGTCAGGAGGTGGGAAAAAATATTTCAGAAGCTCCCTGACATGGAAATCCAATGAACTTTGATTTTAAAACCTGTTGGTGACGTTCTAATGAGGGCTACAATTATAATGAGAGAATATAGAGATGCATCGTTTGATGGAATTAGGTAAAAGTTTGGATGAAAATTGAAATGTTTGAACAGGGTATATCTGAAGTGACTCTCTCCTTGACCCGAACATATTATTAGGATGGATATCTTGTCTAACAGGAGAACACTTTTTCTACCTAATGCTGTAAAACAAAATGCTTGTAAGCCTGTCTTTCAGATAGTATTAATTGGACATGCTAAATGGGAGTTTATAGAATATCCCACACGAGCTGTTAATTTCAGATAGTACCAGATACCTGGCAGACAAAAGACAGTGCAACATTAATTAATTAAATATTGATTAATTAAGTTTAGAGATATGGAAAGAAGTTGGAGTACTGGAGAGACATTTTATAATAATGGATTGAAGGAATTAATGTTGTTAAAATGTTCCTACTACCCAAAGCAATCTACAGATTCAATATAATACCTATCAAAATTGCGATAACTTAGAAAAAAATCCTAAAATTTCTATAGAACCACAAAAGACTCAAAATAACCTAAGCAATTTTGATCAAGAACAAAACTGAACACATTACACATCTTGATTTTAACATTTATAACAAAGCTATAATGATCAAAACAGTATGGTACTAACATAAAAACAGATATATAGATCACTGAAACAGCATAGAGAACTCAGAAATAAAGTCATACATGTATGGTCAACTTATTTTTGGCAGAAGTGTCATCACTTAATGGGGAAAGAATAGTCTCTTCAACAAATGGTTTTAGGAAAACTGAAAATCTACATGCAGAAGAATGAAATTGGTCCCCGATTCTACACCACATACAAAAGTCAACTAAAAATGAATTAGACTCAACATAAGACCTGACACCATAAACTCTTAGAAGAAAACATAGAGTAAAAGCTTCTAGATATTGGCTTTGGCAATGATTTCTTAGATATGACAGCAAAGCACAGGCAAAAAAAAGCAAAAATTAGACAAATGGGATTGTATCACACTAAAAAGTTTCTGTACAGCAGAGGAAACAGAAAATGAAGACAACTTAAAACATTTGTAAATCATATATCTAATAAAGGGTTAATATCCAAAATATATAAGGAAGTCCTACAACTCTATCAAAAAACAACTAAAACAAAAACCATGATTTAAAAATAGGCAAAAGAGTGGAAGTGATATTTCTCAAAGAAAGACATACAGATGGCCAACAGGTATATGAAAAAAATGTTCAACAGCTTTAATAATTAGGGAAATGCAAATTAATACCACAATGAGATAGCATCTCACCCCTGTTAGTATGGCTTCACACACACAAACACAAAAGATAAATACTGGCAAGGATGTGGAAACAAGGGAACCATTGTTTACTGTTGCTGAGAAAATAAATTGGTATATCCACTAAGAAAACAGTATGGAAGTGCCTCAAAAACTACATATAGAACTCCAGCATTGTCTAGTAATCCCACTTCTGGTTACATATCCCAAATTTAAAATCTGTTCTCTCATCTTTATTAAGGCATTATTCATAGTAACCAGTGAAGCAACCAAAATGTCGATAGATTAATGAATGCATTAAGAGAATGTGATATATACAAAATGATGTAATATTATTCAACCTTAAAAAAGAAGAAAAATCCTGCCATTTGCAACAATATGTATGCACCTTGAGGACATTATGTTAAATGAAATAAGCCAGACACAGAAGGACAAAAATTACGTGATACCACTTATATAATAAATCTGCCATAGCAAACTAAGTTGCCAGGAGCTGGGTCACTTGGTGAACAGGGAGGTATTAGTCAAAGGGTAGAAATTTTCAGTTATACAGGAAAAATAAGTCCTAGAGATCTATTGTACATTATAGTACCTATAGTTAGAAATGCTGTATTATCCACTTAAAATTTGCCAAGAAAATAGATTTCATGTTAAGTGTTCTTATCACCAAATAATAATATAATAAAAAACACAATTAGGGAGTGGGAGAAAACCTTAGGAATGGATGGATAGGTTTATGGCCTAGATTGTGGTGATAGTTTCAGGAGTGTATATTTATCTACAAAGACATCAAGTTGTGTACATTATTTATAGCTTTTTGTATGTCAAAAATTTTAAAAAAGAAGACGGAGTACTGGTATGATCACATTATCTGTACAATTGCCCTTTGTTTTTACTCGAACGTTAATAAAGTTACTAACTTTCTTTTGAAATTTTGTTTTTCATATACAATCATTTTCCTTCTGCCTGTCATTTGTGTAATTTAGAATTTCCTTTAGTAATACATCTCCTGTGATTAAATTTTTTAAAGCATTTGAGATAAAATATTTTGACTTTTTTATTTATTCTTAAAAGAGATATAATTTGCCAGATTTGTAATTCTGGATTGAGAGTTATTTTCTGAGAACACATTCAACTGTATTTTGATTTTCATTTTTTACTATTGAGGATTAGCTGTCAGTCTATTGCTATTCCTTTGAAGGTAATTTGTCATTTTTTCTGATGGCTTTTAATATTTTCTCTGTCTTTGGTTTCTAGCAGTTTCTTTATAATGTGCCTTAGTTACAGATCCTTTTTAAGCATTCTGTCTGAGACATTGGAGTTTTTGATCTGAGGTTTTATGTCTTTTATTTGTTCTGGGAAATTATCAGTTTTTTTAATATTACTTCTCCCTCATTCTCTCTATTATTCTCTTCTGTTATGCTTTCTCACTCTATTCTTCATGTCATTTACCCTTTATTTCATATTTTCTGTTTCTTTGCCTCTTTGTTTTGTATTCCCAGTAATTTGTTCAGATAATTTTTTTCAAGTTCTTTAATTTTTTTTAGTTTTTCTCTAACCTGGAATGTAACCTATCTGTAGGCTTTAAAATCTATTATGTAGTTATATTTCTAAAGTTTCTTTATAATTCATTTAAAATTACCTTTATAATTTTCAGTTTCAAAAATTTATTTTGTATATTAAAGCATGTTAACCATGCTTATTTTATTATCTAAAAATTCTAAAATCTTATGTCCTTTTGAGTCTGATATTTCCGTTTGTTATTTCTGCTGGCTCTTACCCGTAGTGCTTTTGTCATTTTGATTGTGAGCTCGTGTTCCTTGCAAATATACTTGTGGTAATTCCTTGAAACCTGGGCTATGTTGTGTTTCTCTACATAGGGTTTATGTTTGCCTCTGAAAAGGTCTGAACATACTAGCAAATAAAGACAATTTTAAAATTCATTTTTTACCTTCAAGTTTTACATATACCACAGTGTGGATTTAGGCCACAAACCTTCAAACCCATGTGAGAGTTTGCTTGCAGTTACAAAATTTTATGGAAGAATTGACTCTCCTGCCAATTGCCAAGTTTGAGGTTAACATTCTGTTAAAGGCAGATTTAGCTATAGTTCATCTTTACATTGTGAATGTAGTCCTAGAACTAGGATTTTGTAGGGGGTTCCCATTAGATTGTCAGCATTGGACAGAATCTAGGTTTCTCTGTTGTGGCCCTCATTCTTCTCCAAAACATACACATCAAAACAAAAGCCAAGTTCCCTGAGATTTTGGCATATGCCACATGGTGAAAATCAACATCAGAGCTGGTTTTATCTGTTAGATTCCAACTGTCACTCGAATTTTAGTGTCTGATCATTGCTTATTTTGTCAGTAGTTCACTTATTTTTTTTTTAAATCCAGAATTTTTAGTTTTTTAAAATTATTATTGTGAGGATTGCTGTATATTTAGTGAAAGGAATTATGTAATAGCATAATTTCTCTTTTATAAAATTTGGTGTATTTCTGATTGTAGAGAGACATGAAGATTAAATTATCATATGGAAATCTTATCATAATTTTTATATATTTTATTCTAAACACACACACACACACACACACACACTCACGCACCCTGTGTATAACACTGATTACCATATAAAGATCATTTTGTCCTCTAACCAAGCTTTCTTCAGAAACTTCATTTTTTTTTATTATACTCTAAGTTCTAGGGTACATGTGCACAACATGCAGGATTGTTACATATGTATACATGTGCCATGTTGGTGTGCTGCATCCAGTAACTCTTCATTTACATTAGGTATATCTCCTAATGCTATCCCTTCCTCCTCCCCCTACCCCACGACAGGCCCTGGTGTGTGTTGTTCCCCTTCCTGTGTCCAAGTGTTCTCATTGTTCAATTCCCACCTATGAGTGAGAACATGCGGTGTCTGGTTTTCTGTCCTGATGATAGTTTGCTTAGAATGATGGTTGCCAGCTTCATCCATGTCCCTACAAAGGACACGAGCTCATCCTTTTTGATGGCTGCATAGTATTCCATAGTGTATATGTGCCACATTTTCTTAATCCAGTCTATCACTGATGCACATGTGGGTTGGTTCCAAGTCTTTGCTATTGTGAATAGTGCCGCAATAAACATATGTGTGCATGTGTCTTTATAGCAGTATGATTTATAATCCTTTGGGTATATACCCAGTAATGGGATTGCTGGGTCAAATGGTATTTCTAGTTCTAGATCCTTGAGGAATTGCCACACTGCCTTCCACAGTGGTTGAACTAGTTTCCAGTCCCACCAACAGTGTAAAAGTGTTCCTATTTCTCCACATCCTCTCCAGCACCTGTTGTTTCCTGACTTTTTAATGATCGCCATTCTAACTGGTGTGAGATGGTATCTCATTGTGGTTTTGATTTGCATTTCTCTGATGGCCAGTGACGATAATTATTTTTTCATGTGTCTTTTGGCTGCATAAATGTCTTCTTTTGAGAAGTGTCTGTTGGTATCCTTCGCCTACTTTTTGATGGGTTTGTTTGTTTTTTCTTGAAAATTTGTTTGAGTTCATTGTAGATTCTGGATATTAGCCCTTTGTCAGATGAGCAGATTGCAAAAATTTTCTCCCATTCTATAGGTTGCCTGTTCACTCTGATGGTGGTTTCTTTTGCTGTGCAGAAGCTCTTTGGTTTAATTGGATCCCATTTGTCAATTTTGGCTTTTGTTGCCATTGCTTTTGGTGTTTTAGACATGAAGTCCTTGCCCGTGCCTATGTCCTGAATGGTATTGCCTAGGTTTTCTTCTAGCATTTTTATGGTTTCAGGTCTAACATTTAAGTCTTTAATCCATCTTGAATTAATTTTTGTATAAAGTGTAAGGAAGGGATCCAGTTTCAGCTTTCTACTTATGACTAGCCAGTTTTCCCAGCAGCATTTATTAAAAAGGGAATCCTTTCCCCATTTCTTGTTTTTGTCAGGTTTGTCAAAGATCAGATGGTTGTAGATAATGTGGTATTATTTCTGAGGGCTCTGTTCTGTTCCATTGTTCTATATCTCTGTTTTGATACCAGTACCATGGTGTTTTGGTTACTGTAGCCTTGTAGTATAGTTTGAAGTCAGGTAGCTGATGCTTCTAGCTTTGTTCTTTTGGCTTAGGAATGTCTTGGCAATGCGGGCTCCTTTTTGGTTCCATATGAACTTTAAAGTACTTTTTTCCAATTCTGTGAAGAAAGTCATTGGTAGCTTAATGGGGATGGCATTGAATCTATAAATTACCTTGGGCAGTATGGCCATTTTCACGATATTGATTCTACCTCTCCATGAGCATGGAATTCTTTACAGCTTCTTAACTTTCTTTTTTAAAAAGTAATACATATTGAGTTAGAAAACTTAGAAAATATGGATAATGAAAGAAAGAGAGTTAAAAATTACTACCACCTGTTTATAGCAGCTGTTATCATTTGATTTGATGACAAATATAAATTTATATTATACATGCTTTCTTGTAGCCTGCTTTTCTTCACTTAACAATGTGTTGGAGATGCTTTTCCCAGTTACTACATGTACTTCCAAAATATTTTAAAAGACTTATAGTGTTCCATTTTATGTTAAAAAGATATTTTTAAAAACTAGTCCTTTATCTTTTAGACTTATGCCTTATAAAATTGTTATTTGTAAAATATATACACTTCCTTTATATGCATTGAATAAAATTGAACTTAAGAACATTACTTTCTTTTTGTTATTTCATATAATGCAGTAATAGTCCTTGCATACAAATATGTATCCACATCATAGATTATTTCCTTTTTATAGATTTCTGTAAGTAGAGTTGTGAAAACCTCACACAGGAATGTTCTTAAATATCTTTGATGATTATTACAAACCGTTGTCTGGAAAATTTATATGAGTACCATTTCTGACCAGCATTTTTTGACTATTTCAAACACTTGGGGTTTTATATTTTTCTTTCACTAAATGTTAACTAAAAAAACTTTGATTTTTTTATGTTAAAATATTTGTAAAGAGGTATCTCATTGTTTACCTTTTAATTTCTTTAATTATTAGGATATTTTCCATATATTGATAATGGTGTTTACATTTCTTCTGTTGCTAATTCTTTAATGAAATTACCCATGTTTCTACTTGGTTCCAATGCTTTTCACCTTATTTTGAGAATCTCCATTAAGTTTAACTTTCATTATATCTGTGAAATGTTACTTTTTAGCTCTTTATTATTTGATGTTTAAAGGATATTTGGGCGTCCAAAAACTTCAGTCTTTACATATTTAATTTTTAATTTTGTGTTAATGTCATTCCTTCTATTGCACGTGACTGAGAAAGTCATCTCTACCTCACATTGTTGGCATTTTTCATTAAAAAATAATTTGTATGTATATAAATATGTTTTAACCTCCGATATAAAATGTGGACCTGACTTTACATTTTTACACATCAATTAGCCATATAACTAGCCCAAATATGCTTGTATCATTAAAGTTAATTGGAATCAGGAGATCTGCCTTTTATTTTAGTATTTCGCAAAGCTAAAATCACGCATACAAGGTGTTTTCTTCTACCTCTAACTTTGTATCCGTTCATGCTTAAGTACAAGACGGCTGCTCATCTTATTTTATATGCTTGCATCATTAAACAAAACACTACACAGATTTTATTTCTTCCTACATATTGGCAAACTTTCCCTTTTCTCCACTCTCATTTCTTCCTGGCCAGTTTTGCCAATTATAATATAGATTGCTTGTGGATGGATGTGTCTAAAGGATATTTATATCTGTGCACAGCTAATTCTAGTCACAGATCTAGTGTCAAAATAAAGTAATCAGCATATATCCTGTCCCTTGCCTCTCTTCACAAGTTTCAGATTCTGTTGCAGGGAGCAAAAATAGAGCCCCTTTTTCTTCTGCAGTGACAATCCAAGTGAGATAACGGAGTGTTCAATTAGCTGAGCTAATGGAGCAGCTCCCCCAGTTAAACAGCAAGACGGTTTTGAAGCCTTCATGCTTCCTGCTCAATTTCATTCTCTCTGATAACATTTTTAACTGCCTGAAGAATCCTCTTTATTTAAAGGCATTCTTTCTATACCTTATTAGTGGGGCAATATTTCAGCTAAATCCCATAGATGTCAACTTTGTTGGCACATACAGGAACATTTAAGTGTTATGCATAGCATATTTCTCCAGTCCATGTTTACCTCTTCTGTCTTTGAATCCATTCAAAGTTAGGGCAGACAGGCTGCCAACTGTGGGAGAAATTCTTGCCACTGTCCTTCCCATAGCTTGCTCCAGACCTGCTGTCTTCCTGGAGAGGAAGATTTCAAAAGTCAGAGAAGGAAGTTGAATTGTCACTTTCCTTGAAATATGCAGTGTTGACAGTGAGTGTGGTAATTAACAGAAAATAAGGAATGCAGACACAGCACTGGGACTCGTGGTTAGAATCCATTCTTTTAACTCTGCCAGTAATGTAGGTAATACGGAAGAATGCTGGGTTTGCATTTGGAAGTTTGGAGTCTGAGAAGAGGCTCTGCCATTTAACTAACTGTAAAAGTTAACTCTCAACCTCAGTTTCCTCACTTTTTCCCACATGGATAGTGTATGAATACAATGAGATAACAAGTGAAAGTGTTTTGTAAACCCAAAGGATTGTACAAAATATAAAGCTGTGTTATTGCCCTTATTCCTCAGAGACTGCAAACAATGAGAGAAGGAGAGTTTATTTCTAGGTCTTTTCTAGGAAGGCTTGTGGATAAAGAGTGTTAGGAGGATGAGGGAAACAGAACAAGATAAGAATTACAGCTGGCTGGTCATCCTGGAGACTAAACCTCAATACAGGTCCTGTAGAACCTGGTCACAACATTTAGAACTTCATTTTGTTTGAAATGAGTACCATGAGAAGATGTTATTTTCTTGCTGAGTGAATGAGTCCTGAAATTCAAGTCTTTAGGAATAAGTTCATATATCAATCCATTTTCCCATCCATCATCTATTCATCCAGATGTTTATTATGCATTTTGTGGTGATTCTGCATAATATACTATGTTAAGCTCTATGATTGCAAACATGAAAAAGATAAGGTTTCTGCTCTGGAGAAGCTCAAAATCCAGAAGAGGAGATGTATAGCAATTACAGATGTGGGTGTTCTCTTTTGCTTAAATAAGCAAAATCTCAAAAGAAGGCCAGATGAATAAAACTAAACATGGTCTCTAGAGCCACTCTAGAAACTTGGGTAAAAATTTAAAGGCTATTCAGTACTATATTGAGAGGCCCTTGACCATGCCCTATTGTTTGTATTATCAGGCTGTTTAGTTTTATTCTGATGTGGCTAGCACGTAATTCCTATTTTAAAACTTTCAGATATATTTTAACTTTTTTCTATAAAGTCAAAACCAATCCACTATCTGAAATAATTGTGCTTAAGTATCTTTTTTTTTTTCTTTTTTCTTTTTCTTTTTGTTTTTGAGACAGAGTTTCGCTCTTGTCGCCCAGCTGGAGTGCAGTGGTGCCATCTCGGCCCACTGCAACCTCCGCCTCCTGGGTTCAGGCGATTCTCCTGCCTGAGCCTACGAAGTAGCTGGGATTACAGGCGTCCACCACCACACCTGGCTAATTTTTGTATTTTTAGTAGAGATGGGGTATAACCATGTTGGCCACAGTGGTCTTGAACTGCTGACCTCAGGTGACCCACCCTCCTCTACCTCCCAAAATGCTGGGATTACAGGTGTGAGCCACTGCACCCGGCCGCTTGAGCATCTTTTAGTAAATAGGCCCAGTTATCAGACTCAACAAGAGTCTAGTGAAATAGAAGTAAAGCAGGAACTTCCAAAATACATGGATAGAGGGCAGGCTAATGATTTAGTTTCCATTCAAAACATTTTCTTTGAGAATATGTTCTACTTTTATTTAATAGGGTTGAAGGAAACTCAAGTAAGGCATGTTTTGATGTTTTATCATGGTCTGTTACTTTCTGTTCTAGGGAGGGGAGTTGATCATTTTATATTTGACTAGTCATACAAAAATTCATATGTAGAGATCTAAGTTAATTGGCAATAAGTTTTAGATTTCCTGAAGTGATATTTTAATAATCTTTGTAGTTTGGTAGCTGCTCACCTGGCTTGCCGTTAATGTGGCTCAGAAATGAGCTATGTATATTCTTATCTTTTAGACTTTACCTCTCCTAAGAGTAAAACTATCACGCATTAGGGCACAATCAGATTTCAGTCTTATCAGTCTTATATCTCTTCCACTCACTCACCCTTATGAAATGTTTACTAAGCCGCTATAAAGTACAGTGGACTACAATTAAATTAGGCTTCTCTTCCTTTTTCTTCCCTCCTCTCCCCTCCCCTTCCCTTCTCTTCCCTTCCCTTCCCTCCTATAACGATAAATTTTTATCAGAGAATATTTAGAAACTACATAAGAAAGTAAAAATTTCTGAAGAAGGTAAAGGTTATATTTTAATGTATTTCTTTCTACTTGCTATATAAGTATATATCCATAGGTAAGCGTGTATGCATACCTTCTAAAAAATATGACTTTCTACTGTTTTGTAACCTTTTTTGTTTGTTTAAAATACAAGCATCTTTTTAAGAAATATTTTCTACAACATAATTTCTTGTGTGAATTCCAGTGCATGGCTTTACTAAGGCTAATTTACCAATCCTGTGGTTATTTCTAAATTTACATTATAAACTTTTCTGGGACCTCATTTAATTAAGATTTTATAAATAATTTTTTTTTTTTTTTTTTTGAAACGGAGTTTCCCTCTGTCTCCCAGGCTGGAGTGCAGTGACGCGATTTCGGCTCACTGCAAGGTCCGCCTTCTGGGTTCACACCATTCTCCTGCCTCAGCCTCCCGAGTAGTTGGGACTACAGGCACCCGCCACCACGCCTGGCTAATGCTTTTTGTGTTTTTCTTATAGAGACAGGGTTTCACCATGTTGGCCAGGATGGTATTGATCTCCTGACCTCTTGACCCGCCCACCTCTGCCTCCCAAAGTGCTGGGATTACAGGTGTGAGCCACCGTGCCTGGCCTATATAAATAATTTTATTTGAATATACATTCCTATAAATGGAATAACTAGAACAAAGAATATTCATATATGAGGCCTATATTGGGAGTACAGATCTCCAAATTCTCCATAAATACACAAATTTATACTTCTTGCATATGTGTGCCTGCATCACAGTATCAAACTCCTATTTACAAAAGGAGATGACTCATGGTGTGTCTTATCTATTTTTAAACAAAACATCATAAAATTCATTATAGAAGAAAAAAATTAACTCACTTTTACTACAAATAAGTATAACTTCCCTTTAATAAATATCAGTGGTCTAAAAAGGCAATCTAGTTGAAGATAATTATTAATTATAATTTCTTCAATAAGGTGAATTGATATGAAATGACAAATATGAACAAAAATTATTAATGTTGCAATTTCGTTGATAGGAAAACTGACTATCAAAAATTTAAAAGTTTTGCAGAACATTGCATAACTTTTTGGCAGTGGAGCCAGTAAGAATTCAGGAGGCTTGTGCTCTTTCTGCTGTATGCATACCTTACTCCATTCCAAATAGTAGCTTATTTAATGCTCTACCTAATTCACTGATTTTATTTTATTCATATATGAGAATGAAAGTGTAAATTGAGCAGGTGATTTGGACAATCTTACCCTCTTATGTTTGGTAGAATCCCTATGATACCTGTTCTCTAAGATATATCAATTCTTTTTATGACTAGGGACTTCTTTTGATTTATGTGTACTTCTGTACAACTGAACAAGGGCATATCTTTATGTATTCATTCAACAAATATATCTTGAGTGTCTCCTCTGTGCCATGTCCTATGCTCTGCTATGGATAGAGAGTGAAAGTCAGATCTCAAGAAACTCATAGCCTACATGTGAAAATACTGATACAGGTAATTACAATAAACTGGGATAGCCGCGCAGACAGAGACACACACTTGACACTGGAAATAGCAAGAAATATCTAACCTGTAACACACATTTGTCTAAAATATGAGAAACCTGATATTCAATCCAAGTTGAGTACTGATGGAGGCATGAACAAAAGCTATGTTCTGAAGCTTTAGTGTTGTGCTAATTGCATAATTCATCACTTAATTACTTTCTGTTTCCAATACACTGTTGTGAGGTGGCTATATGGATAGTGGTTGAGTATGGTTTCTGAAATCAGTTTTTTTTATTTTTTATTTTTTGGTCTAAAACCTGTTTTCCTCCTGGCTTGGGCAAATTTCTTATCTTTTTAAAGCCCCATATTCTTTAGTTTTAAAACCTAAATAATGGTTGCACCCACCTCAAAGGGCTGTCTTGGGGATTAACTGAAACAATCTATAGAAAGTATGTTTTAACATGTTTTCTGTCATGTAGTCAATAAACGATATATGCTATTATTATCATTTCTCTCATATACTGTAAATTAATTTTATTGTAGACATGATACAGCTTTTTCATAGTAAAAGAGCCACTGGGATGAAGGCTCAGAAGTGCATTGATTCTTATTCTTATTCCTGATTTGTTCACTTAATCTTCTTGGAACACCCATTTCTTTCTGAAAATTGGGGATAGGCCTGGAGAATGAGATTGGGCTACATGGTCTCATGGGTCCGATTGACATCTGCCTCATTTGTTTTCCCAATAGGCCCTAGCATTCTTCACTACTGTAACAATTGAGGACATTCTAAGAAATTAATCAGGCAAAGAAAGCAGGGTAGGGTAGCTGATAGTGTGTTAGAAACAGTTCAAGTCTAGAACGTGGAGGTCTTTAGATTGACAATAAGTACGGTGTTCGCCAAAAGCTCTGACAAGCCTGATAAAGACTTAATGGGATTTTAGGCTGGCACATAGACCATGCTGTCTTCCTTTTGCTCAGAGCCCATGTGGAGGCTGAGTCTAGTTTTGGGTAAGGAATTATGCAAGGTCAGTGTTGGCAAGGGTGAGATGGCCAGAGGGGAGGAATGGAGCATGGGAATGGTGAAGATTCTGGGAATCATATTGTGTGAAGAAACTCGAGCTTGGGAATTTAGGAAAAGACAAATTCAAGGAGTAGAGGGCTGGAGGAACAGGGAGTATTCTCTAACATTTGAACACTTTGGCAAAGAATTTAGATATACTCAGAGTGGTCCTCAGACAGAACTATAGTAAGTGGTGGAGGTTCCAGGGAGAAATATTTTAGTGCAAGTCAGCGATATAATTCTGTACAATTAGAGCTCTGTTGTTTTAAACTTATTTATTTAAATTATTTTCTTTTTAAAAAATTGGTGGATATACTTTAAGTTCTGGGATACGTGTGGATAACATGCAGGTTTGTTACATAGGTGTACATGTGCCATGGTAGTTTGTTGCACCCATCAACCCGTCATCTGCATTAGGTATTTCTCCTAATGCCATCCCTTCCTTTTGCCCCTACCCCCCTATAGGTCCCAGTGTGTGATGTTTGCTCCCTGTGCCCTTGTGTTCTCATTGTTCAACTCCCACTTATGAGTGAAAACAAGCAGTGTTTGGTTTTCTGTTCCTTTGTTAGTTTGCTGAGAATGATGGTTTCCAGCTTCATACATGTCCCTGCAAAGGACATGAACTCATCCTTTTTTATGGCTGCATAGTATTCCATGGTGTACATGTGCTACATTTTCTTTACCCAGTCTATCATTGGTGGGCATTTGGGTTGGTTCCAAGTCTTTGCTATTGTGAATAGTGCTGCAATAAACATACGTGTGCATGTGTCTTTATAGGAGAATGAATTATAATCCTTTGTGTATATACCTGGTAATGGCATTGCTGGGTCAAATGGTATTTCTAGTTCTAGATCCTTGAGGAATCACCATACTGTCTTCCACAATGGTTGAACTAATTGCACTCTCACCAACAGTGTAAAAGTGTTACTGTTTCTCCACATCCTCTCCAGCATCTGTTGTTTCCTGACTTTTCAATGATTGGATTCTAACCGCTGTAAGATGGTACCTCGTTGTGGTTTTGATTTGCATTTCTCTAATGACCAGTGATGATAAGCTTTTTTTCATATGTTTATTGGCCACATAAATGTCTTCTTTTGAAAAGTGTCTGTTCATATCCTTTGCCCACTTTCTGATGGGGTTGTTTGTGTTTTTCTTGTAAATTTGTTTGAGTTCATTGTAGATTCTGGATATTAGTCCTTTGTCAGATGGACAGATTGCAAAACTTTTCTCCCATTCTGCAGGTTGCCTGTTCAATCTGATGATAGTTTCTTTTGGTGAGAAGAAGCTCTTTAGTTTAATTAGATCCCATTTGTCAATTTTGGCTTTTGTTGCCATTGCTTTTGGTGTTTTAGTCATGAAGTCTTTGCCCATGCCTATAATAAAAAAAAAAAAGAAGGAACACAATTTAGGGGTGTCAAAGTAAGTATCAGTATTATTTTTATATTTATAGACTCAATGTTTTTACATTGAAAGAAGACCTAAATAGTTTTGTCATCTGTTTCTCATCCATTTCTAATGTTTAAATATAATAAAGTCTAATTGAAAACATGTAAGAAGTTTCCTCACATTGGAATTGCTCATCTGGGAAAAGATAATATTAACTCTGCTGTGATAAAATTGATCTAAGCCTGACTTTTAATCCTTTGAAAATTATCTGTAAAGTCCTAGATAAAAGTTGTCTGAAGAGCATATTATGCAAAGATAAAACTATCTTTCATAAATGAAACTTCTCACTAGAAGTATAAGAGTTTAGGAAGCCAAGATCCTGCTTTAATAATTTTTAAAAAATTACTTAGTTTATCTCCTGTAGCCTTGTTAACATAAGCACAGTGAATAACTACTTGGGTTTTGGTGACTGGTCTAAGTATAAAAGATTAGGAGCAAAGAGCATTCATTACAGAAATCTCTAATCAAAGAATGACTTCTGCTATATCCCTTGGAATGGAGCCACTGCTTCTGTATCCTCTCTTAAGAGGAAGAGAAAGAGATAGTACTAGAATCATAAGAGGGTCTTTATGATTATCATTCTTCAATCTGCATACGGTCAAAACAAAATCTAGAAGAATTAGAACATTTAATAGGGCCTGGGGCTTCACGGCTCTGGTTATCGGCTCCTGTTCCCCGACATTCTCTTTTCCTGACTTCTTTCCCTTGGGAAGATTCTCAAAATTGGTTTCAGCCATATTGTGGCTTTGTGCTACTTTTAAGTCAGGTAAACATTACCAGAAAACATAAAAAACACACAGGAAACAGCTGTAATTGCAAATTGTTCACATTTATAAAAATGTTCATTTCTACTTGGAGGAAGAGAAATTTGATGAAGTACGTATCATCAATTTAATAGGCAAAATCAATAGGTAGATATTATGTCCTGTTAATGGTTGTGGGGGAAAACAGTCACCCTCAGTTGTTTGCTTCTGGGAGTGTAGTTTGGTATATATGTCTGTATGCAGGAGTATAAATTAGTATAAACATCGATTTGGCAATATCCGTCAAAAATAAAAATGGGGACTTTTGACCATTAATTGATTCTACTTGATCTTATCTAACATCTTGAACAAGTGTGAACTAATGTATGTAGAAGAACATTCACTGTAAAATCATTTGTAATAGTAAACAACAAAATACCATGAATTGGTTGTTAAAAATAAAATTTCTAAGATGTCAATAAAGTGAATTTTAGATACAAAAAAATTGGTGGATAAAATTGTTCATACTTATTGTGTACAATATATTTCGGGTATACATACATTATAGATTGACTAAACCTAGCTAATTAACGTATGCATTCTCTCACATAATTATAATTTTAGTGGTGAGAACACTTAACATCCACTCTCAGCATCTTTCAAGAATACATTATATTCTTATTAACCACAGTTACCATGTTGTACAATAGATTTCTTGAATGTATTCCTTCTGTCTAACTGAAATTTTGTATCCTTTGACCAACATCTCTCCAACTCTCTCCCCTCCCACCACCCCAGTTCCTGGTAACTGCCATTCCACTCTCTAGTTCTGTGAGATCAACGTTTTAATATTTCACTCACGAGTGAGATTATGTGGTATTTGTCTTTCTGTGCCTGGCTTATTTCACTTAACATGATGCTCTTTTAAAAAGCTTTCTGGTGGGGTAATAACTAGTCTGCAGCAGGAGCGCTTTCAGTAAAGATTAGGTATCTCTCAAACCTGCTCCATGCAAAGAATAACTAGGCTTCCTCATAAAAATAAAGACTTCCGGACTCTCCACTGGAGTTCTGATTAAGTAGATCAGAGAAATGTCATAGGTATAAGTAATTTTTATCCTGTGTATTATGAAATTTCTATGAGCAGGAAAGTTTGGGAAAGACTTTGCTGTTTATCTGCCAGGAATGTAATAAGACAGTTCTTCAGTTTGATGGGAGTAGTGTTTCTATGATGTTGAAGACTCATTTTAAATTTCTGGTAGATTCTTAATATATTTAGCAATCAACTTTTATTGTAATCATTGTAGCAAAAATATTTTAAGAAACATATGAATTTGATACACAGCACATAACATACCCATGTGGAAAATGTGTTTTATCTTGAGAAAATAATTTTAGAAAGTTTAGAAATAATTTAGCCCTCAATATTCAGGCTTGAAAAAAGGCACATATTTTCATACTTTAAAATGTGATTTTCCTGTATGGCATCTCATACCAGCATTTATTCTGGAGAAACAGTAAAAATGAGGAGGATTCATATGCTGGCTATTAGGTAGAACAAAGGAAGCTTACGAGGTAGGGGAAGTGACAGTAGGTAACTTGGGAGACAGTGTAACAAAATGCCTCTGCAATGCTGTCATGGCTTTTCTGACTCTTACTCTCTGGGATCACACATGTGAGGAAACTCAGGCAGCCTATTCAGAGAACCACAGGACAGAGAACTACAGTCACTCACTACAAGTCAGTGAGACACTGAAGGCTTCCGAGGACTTGAGACCGGATCCTTCTTCCCTTTCAGACACAAACTCATGAAAGACCTTGAGCCAGAAGCAACCAGCTAAGCCCTTTCAAAATTCCTGACTAGAGAAACTCTGAGATAAAAAATATTTTTTTTTTTTGTTTAGATACTAAGTTTTGAGGTAACTTGTTATACAACAGTAGGTAACTAATAAAGTCATTTACCCTCATGGTCACGTTATGTACCTCTCAGGTAGTCTTTTGGGCCCAACTTTTCTGCCCAACTTAATTATTGCATCTTTTAAAATAAATGTTTAGGTATTGACAGATGGTTCAAGAAATATTTTAGAAGAGCTGTTAGATAAATTTATACTCCCTCTAGCTTAAATCTTATCTCTGTTATGAAAATGAAGTACGCTGCTATATAAAGGGGAGAATCAATAAGTACTTCTATTTTGTTTTCTGATATAATTAATTGTGTATATGGGGTTAGTAAAAATGCTCTTGTTATTTAATGTAATTTAGCTGAAAATACCCCAAATACATTCCAATGAATTCCAGTTTACCTTTTCTGTATATAACTCAATTACATATTATACATTGAGAGATGATTCGAAAGAAATCTTGAGATTCTTGTGAAATGCCTTTTTTTCCCCACATAGTACCAGGAGAATATTTTTGCTGCATTTAAGATATCTTATTCTTGGCAAGAGTATCCCAAAAGTGATGCTATGCCCTTCTCAGTGTATCATATCAAGGATTACATGAAATCCATATTTCTCATGGTTGATAATGCCAACTTTGATCTCTTAGTTGAGGTGGGGTCTTTAGGTTTTGTTAATAAATTGTTTTTTATTATGCAATTTATAAGTCCTTTGAGATTACGAAAATATAGTATTTCTGATCATATATTTGCCCATGAATCACAGTTTACAATAATTATTTCTGTGGTGTTTGCCAAATGGTCATTTTCTATTGTCATTCCTTCTGCAGTTATTAATTGGAATTCTGCTTTAAAAAAGAGTGTTCCTTTTTCCCTTTAGCTTATTTATTCAATTATTTATAAAGGAATTCTTTGTTACTAGTTTTGTAGCTTTCTTGAAAATATGAAACTATTTCAAAGTAAAAAGTTAGAAAATAAAAATCTTAAAATCTTTTAATTTTCCAATGAAGAATGCATAAAGGGATTTTGTAACTTCATGTAGAGTAAGCCCATTTTATAAATTCAGGTGTTTTCAAATATTATGTACATCACTTAAATACCATCAAAATCATTAACTTTATCAATCCTGACAATATAATCTCTATTAGAAGACAATCATTGCATGTAGAAGTTGTAGCCAAATATCTTGATGGTACACATTGCCCTCAATTATTAGGATTCATCCTTGTAAATTTTCTCTCAATGCGTGCATTTCCCACTTGTATCTCCAAATGGTAAATAATGAAAAAATTCATTTCAAAAAAAATGTTCAAGAAGGACTGTTGCTGAGTCTCTAATTTTATCCCAGTTTTTCCATTGCTAGAATAAACACAAAAATAGAGAAATGGCCAAACTAATAACTTTTCTTAAAGTTCATATTTTGAAGTCTCTAATTTTCTTATTCTAGATTCATATGCTATGAAGAAAACCAAAATTTATTGAGTTTGTTTCATACAGCTGACTCTCTTTTAGGTATTTGCTCATATTGTAGACAATATTAATTGACACTGATGGCGTTTTCACGTTTATAAGATTTATGCCACATTCACCTTTATAAGATTAAAGCTACTTAAATATCATTTAGGTTCAGGGGGTACATATGCAGGTTTGTTACATGGATATATTGTGTGACACTGAGGTTTGGGCTTTGACTGCACACATCACCTTAGTAGCGAACATAGTACCCAAGGCGTAGATTTTTTTTTTTAACCTTTCCCCCATTTCCTCCCTCCCTCCTCCCTTTTGGAGTCCCTAGTTCCTATTGTTCCCATCTTTATGTCCATGTGTACCCAATGTTTAGTTCCTACTTGTAAATGAGAACATGCAGTATTTGATTTTCTATTTCTGAGTTGTTCACTTAGAATATAATGGCCTCCAGCTGCATCCATGTTGCTGCAAAGGACATGATTTCATTCCTTTTATGGCTGCATAGTATTCTGTGGTATATGTGTGCCACATTTTCTTAAAAACAGTGTTCGTGATGAATATTATTAATATTATTTACATTTTATATATGAGAATGTGGAATCAGAGGAGTTAGTTATCTTTTCTATCTCCAGCTAGAATTAAGAGAATCCCAGTTTGTAAACCCCATGGTTTTTCCTTTTTCCTAAAATATCTGTGTCTTTTTATGTCTACAAAGAACATGCTTAACTAAATTATGCCATATTCATTGAAATCATCATAATTCTCATCCGTATCTTGTCTCTTTGTTTTCTAATACCTTTTATTTTACTAAGTTCTTTGATCCCTTTTCGGATTCGTTTTATTGTTAGTTACTTGCTCAAAGTGGAAGTTGGAACAGATGAGTTTTCTCTAAATTTAGTTTTGATGGGGATGTTTTGCAGGAATAGTAATAGAAAGGAAATGGAGATCTTCATTCCTGTGTTTATGGTTGCCTAATGTTATTAAAGGCTGACTATGTTTAATAAAAGTATAGCTTCTATTCTTTGCAATATATTGCAAAAAGTGTTTCTTTTTGCTGGGGGTGGTGGCGGGGAGTGGTAAGTAACACGTAGGAGGAAGAAATACGCTGAACCTACTTTCTTTTAGCAGTAATATTAGTAGCTCTCTCTGCTTTCAATTGACCGGCTTTGATCAGCTAAGACGTGCCCAAGGTAATTGTCCATGGCTTTGTCTTGGGAAGGAAGTCTCAGGAAGCTTTTACAGTCAGTTTGGATGCTTGAATAGTGATGAAGTAGCAGTGCTGGTTGTTTAGGAAGAAAAAAGAAAAGAAATGGGAATACATTATTATATTAGTTTGTTCTCACACTGCTATAAAGTTCCACCGCAGACTGGGTAATTTATAAAGAAAAGAGGTTTAATTGGCTCATGGTTCTGCAGGCTGTACAGGAAGCATGGCTGGGAGGTCTCAGGAAACTTACAATCATGGTTGAAGTCGAAGGGGAAGCAGACACATCTTACATGACCACAGCAGGAGGAAGAGCAAGAAGAGGGAGGTGCTACACACTTTTAGACAACCAGATCTCATGAAAACTCACTATCATGAGAACAGCAAGGAGGAAATATGCCCCCATAATCCAATCAGCTCCCACAAGGGCCCTCCTTCAGCATTGGGGATTACAATTTGACATGACATTTGGGCGGGGACACAAATTCAAACCATATCAATTACTAAAGACATTTATAGTGAGGTGTTACAAGGGATTTTTATAAATGACAAGGGACACAGTTGGAAGGTACTTGGAGAAGATAGAAGATAGGGGAAATATTTGAGATAATTACACATTTTGATGCATAAACCTGTAGGTGAGTGACAGGTCCAATCCATCAAATTATTACTCATGGTGAAGCAGAGAAAGGGCCATCTGAAAAACCTAAAGAAACTGTCTGTATGGCAGTCTTATTTAGATGACACTTTATTGACAGTGTATTCTCATCTCATTATGGTTAATGAACAGGAATAGTCTGTAAGTAAGGAAAATTTCCAAAGAGCCTGGTCAAGACTCTCAAGAAAAAAGGACATCTTCATGGTAACAATATAATCACTGCAAGTCTCTCATGTAATTGATTCATGGTTCATTCTCTTCCTTTGTTCTGTTACCTACGCTGTGTCTCCTCTTCTCATTGATCTTTAAAAATATGTATATTCAGATAAGAGATATGATCCTTGC
This sequence comes from Homo sapiens, assembly GCF_000001405.40. Lineage (NCBI taxonomy): Eukaryota > Metazoa > Chordata > Mammalia > Primates > Hominidae > Homo > Homo sapiens. The sequence goes on along the minus strand of NC_000002.12, from coordinate 53,054,810 downwards.
TTCTTAGAGAAGAAAATTCATATTGTACTCTCCCCTTTCAAAAAAAGGTGCTTGTTAAAAGATTAAAGATACAATACAAATTCCAAATACATTTGTGCAGCTGTAAGCAAAATTTTCTATTAAAGCTGATGCTTTTCTTTTTAAAATATGGGTGATTATCCAGGGCTTGTTTTTCACAGTCATAAACTATGCCTTCTTTAGAAGTTGAAAGTATTATGAAGGCAAGGACAAAATATTTTAAATTAAATTATCTATAGTACTTTGTACACAGTAGTCCAATAAATATTTATTGACACTGATTAATGCCTTTGTCTGGAGCCAGTGAATTAATGTGTAGCACTTTCAGGAATTAAAAGAATTGCTAAATTAGATTTTTAGCAAAAAAAATAAAAATAAAAATTGGCGAGGTTATGAATATGTTAATTAGCTTGATTAAATCTTTCTATAATGTGTACATAGATCAAAGTATCACATTGTACCCTCATAAATATACATAATTATTACTTTTCAATTAAAAATAAACAAATTTAAAAAATAAAGATATAGTGGCTTAGATGTTAAGAGTTATTCATAGCATGCTGGCAAATGGCCTAGTGTCCCAGTCTTTATTCTGTTTCTATCTGAATCATCCTGTATTCTCTTAAAACTGTAGAACTCTGATGATACTGTTTATTTCCCATGTAGATCCCAGCAAACCTTTTAGAGCTGAATGAACAAAGACATGAATCAGAACATTAAGCATATTCTAGGCTCTGAGTCTGAAAGAAATGGACATTCTAGGTTATAAATCTTAATTGGATAAAAAAGCAGTCAGCCAACACTCTTAATTTTGAAAAATGTGCAATAACAGAGGGTGTTACAAGTGCATGATAAATAAGCCACTCTGAGGACATCCTCTGAGAAAAACATCACTTGAAAATTCAGAGTTATAACTTGTTGGAGTAATGAGAGAGAAACACACTAGTTTTCAAAAGTGTCCTTAGAATAGGCACCTTACCTTTCCTTGTAATTCATTGAATTTTGAATGTCTATTCAATCTAATAATTCAGAGAATATTTATGGAATGATCTCTACACATTAGGAATCAGGTGACAAACAAAGATGACTGTGACACACCTTGCCTTTTTAAAGGAGCACATTGTCTCAAAGAAATGTATCTAATTAAAATGCTTATTATTGTTATGATACATACTCATCAATGTACATTTCAAGGAAATGTAGAAAAGACATTAGGATAAAATTCTTACAAAACTAAACATATTCTTACCATATGATACAGCAATTGCATTCTTTGATATTTTTCCAAGTAAGTTGAAAACTTATGTCAACACAAAAACATGCACATGGATGTTTATAGCAGCTTTACCCATAATTGTCAAAACTTGAAAACAACCAAAATGTTCTTCAGTAGGTAAATGGGTGAATACACTGTGGTTCATCCAGACAATTAATTATTATTCAGTGCTAAAAGGAAATGAGCTACGGAAAGACATAAAGAAACATTAAATGCATATTACTAAGTGAAAGAAGCCAATCTGAAAGGGTTACATACTTTATGATTCCACATATATGCTATTCTGGAAAAGCCAAAACTGTGAATATAGTAAAAAGATCAGTATTTGCCAGGAGGGAAGAGGGGAAGGAGAGATGAATAGGTTAGGAACATATAAGATTTTTAGGGCAATGAAAATACTTTGGTCTTACAATGGTGGATATATGTCATTGCATATCTCCCCAAACCCGTAGAATGTACAAAACCAAAAGGGGACGCTATAGCAAACTGTAGACTTTGAGTGATAATGGTTTCTCTATACTGGTTCATCGATTATAACAAAAATATTACTCTGGTGTGGAATACTGATACTGGGGAGGCTGTGCATGTTTGGGGCAGGGGATATGTGAAAACTATACATTTTTGTCAGTTTTTCTGTGAACCTAAAACTGCACTAAAAAGTTCAGCCTATTAAAAATGACTAGACATTTAAAAGAAAATCTGGTAAAGACCAAAATGCATTTGTATTTCTACAATGAGAATACTTACCCAATACCAAGTTTTATTATACCCCTTCACTCCCTGACCCCCTCCGCCCGCCAAAAAAAAAAATTGCTCCAAGTTCTTCTACTCAACCACTTGCATGTTTAGGAGATGCGTCTATTGCATTCCATTGTTTTCTATATATAATTTATATACATATTGAAATCATGCTATTTGTATGTGTTTAGCCTATAATAGCTCAAGGGGACATATGAAGGATGTTTAGAGCAGATAAAAGATTACATGCAAGAAGAAGAATGATGGGTATAAAAGAAGAGTTGGGCATCAGATTTAGATGGTGAAAGTCAACTTTTCTTTGGGAAATGAGGAAGAAGGAAAGTGAAATTCAATTTAAGAGTTCTTTCTAATCTGAAATGTGTTGTTGGAAAGTTAAGTTAGAGCCTGTATTAATTTCCTAGTGTTGCCATAACAAATTACTGTAAACTTGAAAGGCATCAACCAACAGAAAGTTATTGTCTCACTGTTCTGTGTGCTAGAAATCTGAAATCAAAGTGTCAGCAAGGGCCATGTGTTCTTTGAAGATTCTGAAGAATAATCCTTTCTTTGCCTTTTTTAAGCTTCTAGTAGTTGCAATTCTTGCTGTTCCATGGCTTGTAGATGCAACACTCCAGTCTCTGCCTTCTAAATGACATGGAGTTCTCCCTATTTTCTGTGTCTAAATTTTCCTTTTCTTCTAAGGACAGAATTCCTTGGGTTAGGCCAATACTAATCCAATATGACCTCATCTTAACTTGATTACACCTGCAAAGACTCTATTCTCAAATAAGGTCACATTCACAGGAACCTGGTGTTAGAGCCACAACATGTGTTTTTGGAGGGCATAATTCAACCCCAAACAGAGCCAGGTTATAGAGAACTTTGAATCCCATGTTAAAATACCAACTATTTTTCATACTAAGGGCAGTGGCTAGACAGGAAAGATTTTAAGCAAGTGAATAGCATAATTTAAAAATTTCTTCAGAAAACGGATGTTGTTATAGTGGAGATAATCAGTAAAGGAGAGAGGAAAGATAATTAGAAGATCTCTTAAAACTTTATCGTCTTTTACTGTGAATTCACAGTAATTTTTTTCTTAATATTAAGTTTATGACTAAATACTTATAACTGTATAGTGGCTGAAATTGGTGGCATTACTAAACAAGAAAATAATGTTAAAGCAATAGGAATAGGTATTTTAATGTCAGATCCTGATTCATTTCTTTCCTTGATCTTCTAATGGATAATAAAGATAATAAAAATTAAATTCAATAGCAAACTGACTAATGAATTTTCTGGAGGAAGCCAATAGTGATACAGTACTATTTCTATCACATTATTTCAAGAATAAATACTATCAACATGACTCATCACTGTTGATGTTAATCTTACCACCTGGCTAAGGTAGTGTTTATTAGGTTTATCCACTGCAAAGTTGCCCTTCCCTTCACCCACTTCCATACTGTATTCTTTGAAAGGAAGTTATTCTACTCAGCCCACAATTGAGTGAGAAATAATGTTTCAGTTCCCTGAGGATAGGTGGAGTATCTACATAAATTATTTGGAATTTCTCTGCATGGGAAATGTATCTATTCTCCTCCATACATTTATATATTCAATTACTTATTTTTAACAGTATGGATTCGTGCCATTTATTTTATAATTTATGTTATAATATTAATATAATACATTAGTTTTTTTGTCGCTCAAATTGTTCCAGATTCAGTCATTGAGAGTTCTTTCAGCTGACTCTTGTATGTCCTTTGACCTACTCCATTATTTTACGTTTTAAAAACATTTCTTACTTCTTAGCACTATAAATGCTCAAGACAAATCTTGTGTGTTCCCTGCCCCAGTTCTAGTATCTGCCATTTCTTCAAGAAGCCGCCGTTTGTTGTACTAAAGTATGATATTAGAAACCAAGATGTTGGTGTTATGTGTGCTTATTGCTATTGGAATGTCATTCCTTCTAGGCCCTCTTAACTGACGGAACTAGAAAATACATGTGTACATACTAAATCATATATATATATATATATATATATATATATATATACACACACACACACGTACACACACACATATCTATAAATATTTCTCCATATATATTCATTTGTACCCGCATTAAGTTAAGCATGAGTTAAGCTGAAATCTTCAACTCTAACACATTACCACAAGGGTTACTCTAGGTTTCTGCCCCTGCTTGTCTGTGGCCTTCCAGCCTGTCAGTGAGAAACTGGGGTCCCACTATTTACTAAATTGTTCAATTACAGTATATCTGTATAATCATTCCAGAAATGTTTACTCATACTCCTATGGGAAAGAACTTTATCAATTAGAGTACAATTCTTATGATTAGTTCCTTTTGCCTTTATTTTTGAAGACTGCATTTATTTCTAAAGTTTCTTAAATCAATAACTCTTTCTTTTATCCTTTTTGAAGTTATTTCATACATCAGTAATATGATTAGATGATTTTCATAGTCTGCATTCCTTTTTAGTTTCCCTGACCTCCTAATTTTTTTAATAGGCATATAATCTAGAGTTTATAAGAAATAATTTTAAAAAGGCGTGCATTAAGGTTTACTGTAATATAAATGCCTATGGGTTTGAAAACTGCATAGACTCATGTATCTATCATTACAATATCATATAGATTAGTTTCATTGCACTAAACAAATCCCCTGTGCTTTATCTGTTCAAAACTCCTTTATCTCCAAATCCCTACCATAACTGATCTGCTTACTATCTCTATTATTTTTCCTTTTCCAGAATGTCATGTAAATGGAACTGTGTAATACATAGCCTTTTAAAATCATTTTTTAAAAATTCAACTATATGCATTTAAGATTCGTATATTATATAAATGTATCACAATTTGGCTACCCATTCACCTGCTGAAGGATACTTCAGTTGAATAAGACAAGCATTTTATTTTATTTATTTATTTTTTATTTATTTATTTTTTTATTATACTTTAAGTTTTAGGGTACATGTGCACAATGTGCAGGTTAGTTACATATGTATACATGTGCCATGTTGGTGTGCTGCACCCATTAACTCATCATTTAGCATTAGGTATATCTCCTAATGCTATCCTTCCCCCCTCCCTACACCCCACAACAGTCCCCATTGTGTGGTGTTCCCCTTCCTGTGTCCAAGTGTTCTCATTGTTCAGTTCCCACCTATGAGTGAGAAAATGCGGTGTTTGGTTTTTTGTCCTTGCGATAGTTTGCTGAGAATGATGGTTTCCAGCTTCATCCATGTCCCTACAAAGGACATGAAATCATCATTTTTTATGGCTGCATAGTATTCCGTGGTGTATATGTGCCATATTTTCTTAATCCAGTCTATCATTGTTGGACATTTGGGTTGGTTCCAAGTCTTTGCTATTGTGAATAGTGCCACAATAAACATACGTGTGCATGTGTCTTTATAGGAACATGATTTATAATCTTTTGGGTATATACCCAGTAATGGGATGGCTGGGGCAAATGGTATTTCTAGTTCTAGATCCCTGAGGAATGGACACACTGACTTCCACAATGGTTGAACTAGTTTCCAGTCCCACCAACAGTGTAAAAGTGTTCCTATTTCTCCACATCCTCTCCAGCACCTGTTGTTTCCTGGCTTTTTAATGATCGCCATTCTAACTGGTGTGAGATGGTATCTCATTGTGGTTTTGATTTGCATTTCTCTGATGGCCAGTGATGATGAGCATTTTTTCATTTGTCTTCTGGCTGCATAAATGTCTTCTTTTGAGAAGTGTCTGTTCATGTCCTTCGCCCACTTTTTGATGGGGTTGTTTGTTTTTTTCTTGTAAATTTGTTTGAGTTCATTGTAGATTCTGGATATTAGCCCTTTGTCAGATGAGTAGATTGTGAAAATTTTCTCCCATTGTGTAGGTTGCCTGTTCACTCTGATGGTAGTTTCTTTTGCTGTGCAGAAGCTCTTTAGTTTAATTGGATCCCATTTGTCAATTTTGGCTTTTGCTGCCATTGCTTTTGGTGTTTTAGACATGAAGTCCTTGCCCATGCCTATGTCCTGAATTGTATTGCCTAGGTTTTCTTCTAGGGTTTTTATGGTTTCAGGTCTAACATTTAAGTCTTTAATCCATCTTGAATTGATTTTTGTATAAGGTGTAAGGAAGGGATCCAGTTTCAGCTTTCTACATGTGACCAGCCAGTTTTCCCAGCACCATTTATTAAACGAGGAATCCTTTCCCCATTTCTTGTTTTTGTCAGGTTTGTCAAAGATCAGATGGTTGTAGATATGTGGCATTATTTCTGAGGGCTCTGTTCTGTTCCATTGGTCTATATCTCTGTTTTGGTACCAGTACCATGCTGTTTTGGTTACTGTAGCCTTGTAGTGTAGTTTGAAATCAGGTAGCATGATGCCTCCATCTTTGTTCTTTTGGCTTAGGAGTGACTTGGCAATGTGGGCCCTTTTTTGGTTCCGTATGAACTTTAAAGTACTTTTTTCCAATTCTGTGAAGAAAATCATTGGTAGCATAATGGGGATGGCATTGAATCTGTAAATTACCTTGGGCCAGTTTTTTGAAAATATCAACAAAATTGATAGACTGCTAGCAAGACTAATAAAGAAGAAAAGAGAGAAGAATCAAATAGATGCAATAAAAAATGATAAAGGGGATACCACCACTGATCCCACAGAAACACAAACTACCATCAGAGAATACTATAAACATCTCTATGCAAATAAACTAGAAAATCTAGAAGAAATGGATAAATTCCTCGACACATGCACCCTCCCAAGACTAAACCAGGAAGAAGTTGAATCTCTGAATAGACCAATAACAAGCTCTGTAATTGAGGCAATAATTAACAGCTTACCAACCAAAAAAAGTCCAGGACTGGATGGATTCACAGCCGAATTGTACCAGAGGTACAAGGAGGAGCTGGTACCATTCCTTCTGAAACTATTCCAATCAACAGAAAAAGAGGGAATCCTCCCTAACTCATTGTATGAGGCCAGCATCATCCTGATATCAAAGCCTGGCAGAGACACAACCAAAAAAGAGAATTTTAGACCAATATCCCTGATGAACATTGATGCAAAAATCCTCAATAAAATACTGGCAAACTGAATCCAGCAGCACATCAAAAAGCTTATCCACCATGATCAAGTGGGCTTCATCCCTGGGTTGCAAGACTGGTTCAACATACGCAAATCAATAAACGTAATCCAGCATTTAAACAGAACCAACGACAAAAACCATACGATTATCTCAATAGATGCAGGAAAGGCCTTTGACAAAATTCAACAATGCTTCATGCTAAAAACTCTCAATAAATTAGGTATTGATGGGATGTATCTGAAAATAATAAGAGCTATCTATGACAAACCCACAGCCAATATCATACTGAATGGGCAAAAACTGGAAGCATTCCCTTTGAAAACTGGCACAAGACAGGGATGCCCTCTCTCACCACTCCTATTCAACATAGAGTTGGAAGTTCTGGCCAGGGCAATCAGGCAGGAGAAAGAAATAAAGGGTATTCAAATAGGAAAAGAGGAAGTCAGATTGTCCCTCTTTGCATATGACATGATTGTATATCTAGAAAACCCCATCATCTCAGCCCAAAATCTCCTGAAGCTGATAGGCAAATTCAGCAAAGTCTCAGGATACAAAATCAATGCACAAAAATCACAAGCATTCTTATACATCAATAACAGACAAACAGAGAGCCAAATCATGAGTGAACTCCCATTCACAATTGCTTCAAAGAGAATAAAATACCTAGGAATCCAACTTACAAGGGACGTGAAGGACCTCTTCAAGGAGAACTACAAACCACTGCTCAAGGAAATAAAAGAGGATACAAACAAATGGAAGAACATTCCACGCTCATGGGTAGGAAGAATCAATATCGTGAAAAAGACAAGCATTATAATCCAATCGCAAACTTTATATGTTTTGGCTCAAAATTGGCCTAAAGTTACTTAAAATTCTTCAACCACTAATTAATTCTCTTTCTTCTTTGTACTTACCAGTAATTTAACTTCTGTTTGTGAGTTTATTTTTCTGTTTCAATTGAAAACTAAGTTGCTGTATTAACTTTTTTCTGAATATTTTAATGGATTTGTTATACACAACTAAAATTGTTTTTAAATATGTTTTTCCAAAGTGCAAGTCCATTGTGTTACTTTCATAAAAATGCCTGTAGGGATAATGCAAAGAAATATTAAAATAGGCTATGATTCTCGAACATCTTTTTGACTTATTTTGTCTAGAGGCTTTTTCTAATTTCAAGGCACTAATCTCACCCAACTTCTTCAACTTTTTCAAATTAGCAAACCTGTAACAAGCCCACATCTAAAATCATACTAAATGGTGAAAAGTTGAAAGCTTTTCCACTAATATTAGGAATAAAACAAGGATGCCCCCTCTTGCCATTTCTGCACACCCTAATAGTGGAAGTCCTAGCAACAACAATTAGGCAAGAAAGAGACATAAAAGGCATCCGTATGTAAAAGGAAGAAGTGAAATTGTATTTGGTGATGACAGGATCTTATATACAGAAAACCCCAAAGACTCCACCAAAAAATTGTTAGAACTAATAAATTCAGTAACATTGCAGGTTACAGTAAATATACAAAAGTCAGAAGTGTTTTACACACTAACGACAAGATATTAAAAATTAATTAAAATAATTCTACTTACAATAGAATCAAAAATAAAATTAAATAAAATAAATTTACTTAGGAGTAAATTTAACCAAGGAGGTAGAAGGTTTGTATATTGAAAATTATAAAACTTTAATGAAAGAAATTGAAGAAGATACAAATAGATGTTTGTGAGTTGAAAGAATGAATGTTGTTTAAATGTCTGTACTACCCAAAGTGATCTATAGATTCAATGTAATTTCTGTCAGAATTCCAATGTCATTTTTTTTACTGAAATACAAAAAAAAATTCATAAAATTTTATAGAACCAGAAAAGACCCCTAAAAACCCAAACAATCTTATCAAAAAGAACAAAAGTGGAGGCATTCCACTCCTTGATTCCAAAATATGACATAAAGCTTTTGTAATCAAAACACCATGGTTCTGGCATACAAACAAAGATATTGACCAATGAGACCACATAGAATGCCTAGAAATCAACTCAAGTATTTAAGATTAATTGACTCTTGACGAAAGTGTCAAGACTATACAATGGGAAAAGAACAGTCTCTTCAGTAAATGATGTTGGGAAAACTTGATATCCACATGCAAAAGAATGAAATTGGACCCTTATCTCACATCATATCCAAACAGTCAACTCAAAATGGATAAAAGCCTTAAACTTAAGATGTGAAACTGTAGACTTACCAGGAGAAACCATAGTGGAAAACTCTACTAAATTTGTCTGGGCAGTCATTTTGTGGATAAAACTGTGAAAGCAGAGACAACAAAAGCAATAATAAACAAATGGGATTGCATCAAACTGAAAAGCTTCTGCATAGCAAAAGAAACAATTAACAGAGTGAAGAGACAACATGTGGATTGGGGGAAAATATTTGCAAACAATACATTCTATAAGAGACTACAATTGGCTCCCTGTATGTATCTATTTTGCATAAAATATATAAAGGAACTCAACTCAGTAGCAAGAAAATAACCCAATTAAAAACAAGCAAAGGATCTGAACAGACATTTCTCAAAAGATGAGCTATGAATGATTAATAGATATATGAAAAAATACCATCTCTAATCATCAGGGAAAATGCAAATTAAAAGCACGATGAGTTATTACCTCATGACTGTTAGAATGGGTATTATCAAAAAGATAAATGATAACAAGTATTGGTGAGGATGTAGAAAAAGGGGAACCTTTGTTGGTGAGAATATAAATTGGTACAGGCGTTGTAGAAGATAGTGTCGAAGTTATTCAAAAAAATTAAAAATAGATTTACTGTATGATCTAGCAATCCCATTTCTGGGTACCTATCAAAAATAATTGAAATTGGTTTGTCAAAGAGATGTCTGTACTCTCATGTTCATTGCAACGTTATTCACAGTAGCCAAGGTATGGAAGCAACCTAAGTGTCTATCAACAGATGCATGAATAAAGAAAATGTAGAATATTTACGCAGTGGAATACTATACAACCTTTAAAAACCAAGAAATTATGTCATTTGTGACAATATAGATTGGACTGGGGTACATTATGCTAAGTGAGATAAGCCAGGCACAGAAAGACAAATACTGTATTATCTCACTTTTATGTGCAATCTATCCACATTGATCTTATAGAAACAGAGGGTAGAAAGGTGGTTTCCTAAGGCTGGCAGGTAGGGAAGACATGGGGAAAGGAAAGATGTTGATCAGAAGGTACAAAATTTCAGTTAGACTAGAGAAATAAGTTTTAGTGATCTATTGCACTGCATGGTGACCATAGTTAATATGTTGTACATTTCAAAATTGCTAAAATAGATATTAAACATTCTTTCCACAAACAAATGATAAATTAGTGAGGCAGTGGATTGTTAATTAGCTTGAGTGAATCTTTCTATGAGGTATATGTAGATCACATTGTATCTCATACATAAACACAATTATTATTTGTCAATTAAAAATAAAAACAAGCTTAAAAAGCTGTTTATGCCACCTAATTTCAGGACAAAAACATTATTCAATTTCAAACTTTCAAATGTTGGGTTTGCCAGAGAGAATTTGAATTTAAAATGTTATTACTGGGTATGGTAAGTCCTCACTTTATGTACTATAAATCTATAAGTTCTTGAAAACTGTGACTTTAAGTGAAATGATGCATATCAAAACCAGTGTTTTTCCCTCATCAACATTGTAACAAAAGGACTTGAAAGGAATGACACTATTTAAGGCCAGGTGTGGTGGCTCACGCCTATAATCCCAGCGCTTTGGATGCCGAGATGGGAGGTGGGTGGATCACCTCAGGTCAGAAGTTCAAGACCAGCCTGGCCAACGTGGTGAAACCCCGTCTCTACTAAAAAATACAAAAATTAGCTGGGCATGGTGGCGGGCACCTGTAACCCCAGCTACTTGGGAGGCTGAGGCAGGAGAATCACTTGAACCCAGGAGGCGGAGGTTGCAGTGAGCCCAGATGGCGCCACTGCACTCCAGCCTAGGTGACAGAGCGAGGCTCCGTCTCAAAAAAAAAAAAACAGAAAAAAGAAAAAGAAAAAAATTTCCCCATTTAAGGACTATTTAAGGGGAGGGGGAGAGCATTAGAACAAATACCTAATGCATGAGGAGCTTAAAACCTAGATGATGGGTTGATAGGTACAGCAAACCACCATGGCACGTATATACGTATGTAACAAACCTGCACGTTCTACACCCAGATTCACGAAACAAATACTTCTAGATGTTCTAAAGACATAGATACCCAGACAATAATACTGAGGGACTTTAACACCCCATGAACAGCGTTATGTCATGGAGGCAGAAAACTAACAAAGATAATCTGGACTTAAATTTGATGCTTGGCCAATTGGACCTCATAGACATCTCCAGAATACTCCATGTGTCAACCAGATAATATTCTTCTCCTCTTTACATGAAATATACTCTAAGAGTGGACACATGCTCAGCCATAAAGCCTGTCACAATAACTTTTAGAAAATTGAAATAATACTAATCATACTCTTGTACCACTGTTGAATAATAGAAATGATTCACTGTGGAATAAATACTGAAATAGAAATAGAAATCAATAAAAAAGAAGATCTCTCAAACCACACAATCACATGGAAATTAATCAACTTGCTCCTGGATGACTTTTGGGAAAACAATGAAATTAAGACAGAAAAAAAGATTTGCAAAGAAATCAAAACAGAGACATCTCTGGGATGCAGCAAAAACAATGTTAAGAGGAAAGTTTATAGCATTAAATGCCTACCTCAAAAAGTTATAAAGATCTCAAATTAACAATCTAACATCACACCTAGGGGAACTAGAGGAAACTTAAAAAAAAAACAAACTAACCGCAAAACTAGCAGAAGAAAAGAAAGAAATAAAATCAGAGAATAACTGAATAAATTGAGAACCAAAAATGTATACAAAGAATCAATGAAGCCAAAAGTTTCTTTTTAGAAGGATAAGCTAGATCGATAGACTGCTAGCTAGATTTACAAAGAAAAAAGAGAGAAGATCCAAATAAGCACAATCAGAAATAATAAAAGTGACATTACAACTAATCCCACAGAAATATCTCACAGACTATTATGAATACCTCTGTACACACAAACGAGAAAATCTAGAGGAAATGGGTATATTCCTGGAAACACAACTTCCCAAGACTGAGTCAGGAAGAAACTAAAAACCTGAACAGACCAATATCAAGTTCTGAAATTGAATCATCAATACAAAACCTGTTGGTAAAAAAAAAAAAAAAAAAAAAAAAAAAAAAAAAAAAGCCCTGGGCCAGATGGATTCACAGCCAAATTGTACCAGAGGTATAAGGTACAATTGGTACCAATTTGATACTAAGGAGGAAGGACTCCTCCCTAACTCATTCTATGAAACCAGCATCACCCTGATACCCAAACCTGGCAAAGTCATCCGAATAGGAAAAGAAGATGACACACTATCTCTCTTTGCTAATGATATGATTCTATACCTAGCAATTCTAATGACTGCCAAAAGCTCTTGGAACTAATAAAGGACATCATTAAAGCTTCAGGATGCAAAAATCAGTGTACAAAAATCAGTAACATTTCTATACAATAATAACATTCAAGCTGACAGCTAAATCAAGAACACAATCCCATGTACAATGGCCACAAAAAGAATTACATACCTAGGAATAGATCTAATCAAGGAGGTGAAAGATCTCTACAAGGATGGCTACAAAACACTGCTGAAAAAAATCACAGATGAGAAACAAATGAAAAAACATTTCATGCTCATGAATTGAAGGGATTAATATCTTTAAAATGGCCATACTGCCCAAAGCAATATATAGGTTTAATGCTATTTTTATCAGACTACTAATGTCATTTTCCAAAGTTAGAAAACACTTAAAAAATTCATATGTAACCAAAACACAGCGTGAATAGTGAAAGCAATCCTAAGCAAAAAGGACAAAGCCAGTGGCGTCACATTATTCAATTTCAAAATATACTGTAAGGCTAGAGCAACCAAAACAGCATCATACTGGTAGAAAACAGACATATGGACTAATAGCACAGAATAGAGAACCCATAAATAAAGTTACATGTCTACAGCCATCTGATCTTCAAGGCTGACAAAAATAAGCAGTGGAGAAAGAACTCCCTAGTCATTAAATAGTCCTGGGATAACCGGCTAGGTATATCCAGAAAAATGAAACTGGACCCCTAGCTTTCACCATATACAAAAATTAAGTTGGATTCGATTTAAATGTAAGATCTCAAACTATAAGAATCCTACAAGAAAGCTTAGGAAACCCCATTCTGGACATCAGCCTTGAGAAAGAATTTATGACTAAGTGCTCAAAAGCAATTGCAACAAAAACAAAGTTTGACAAGTGGGACCTAATTAAACCAAACAGCCTCTGCAGAGCAGAAGAATCTGTCAACAGAGTAAACAGATAACCTACAGAGTGGGAGGAAATATTCACAAACTATGCATCCAGCAAATGTCTAATATGCAGAATTTATAAGGAACTTAAACAATTCAACACTTAAAAACCAAATAACTGCATAGAAAGTGGGCAAAAGATATGAACAGACACTTCTCAAAAGATGACACACAGGCAGCCAATGAACATATGAAAACGTGCTCAACATCACTAATCATCACAAAACAAGAATCAGCCACAATGAGATACCATCTCACACTAGTCAGAATGGCTGTTTTTAAAAACTCAAAAAACAACATACAAGTCTGCAGAGAAAAGGGAATGTTTATACGCTGTTGATGGAAATGTAAATTAGTTCAGCCACTGTGAAAAGCAGTGTGTGTGTGTGTGTGTGTGTATGTATACTATTTAGATACTAAGAAACTGTTAAATATTAGAAACTGTTAAACTTTTTACCAAAGTGACGGTGCAGTTTTGCATTCCTGCCAGCAGTGTATGATAACTCCACCTACTTTACATCCTCATCAATACACAGTATCGTCAGACTTTAATTTTAATTTTAGTTATTTTAATAAGTGTGCAGTAGTATCTCATTGTGGTTTTAATTTCCATTTACCTGATGACTGATGATGTTGAGCCTCTTTCTGTATATCTTAGTTTAATAACTTTTTGTTCAAATCTTCTCATTGTTGGGTTGGTTGTATTCTTACAATTAAATTGTAAGATTTCTTTATGCAGTTTGGATACAAGTCATCTGTCAAATATATGTAGTGTGTTTTGTTTATTCTTTAGCTTTTCATTTTTTAACTGAGTTTTGTTTTTGGATGAAGTCTGATTTATTATGTTTTTCTTTTTAATCTGTACTTTTCTAAGTCCTACTTTGGAAATTTGAGCCTATCCCAGCATCACAAAAATTTTCTGCCATATTTTCATCTAGACATTTTCTAGTTTAACCTATAGTTTTAGGACTATGATGCACATCAAGCTATTTTTTGTGTGAGATAGAATATAAGAATCAAGGTTTACTTTTTTCAAAGTGGATATATAATTTTTCCATTACTACATGTTAATATTCTTTCCCCATTGAATAACCTTACACCTTTGTTCAAAATCAATTATCATATGTGTATGAGTGTATTTTTGAACTCTATTCCATTCCATTCCTCTCTGGACATTGCTATGCCAATACCATATTGTCTTGAATATTATAGCTTCATACTAAGCCTTGAAATCAATTACAGTCAGCTCTCCATATCTTTGGGCTCCAAAGCTTTGGATTCACCAAATGTGGATCAAAAATACTTGAAAAAAATTGTGTACACTGAACATGTACTGACTTTTTTCTTATTATTTTCTAAACAATACAGTATAACAACTATTTACATAGCATTTACATTGTATTAGGTATTATAAGTAATCTAGAGATGATTTAAAATATATGGGAAGATGTACATACGTTATATGCAATTACTGTGCCATTTTATAAGAAGTACTTGAGCATCTACTGATTTTGGTATTCATGGGAGGTCCTAGAACCAATTTCCCATGGATACCAAGAGGCAACTGTAGCATAAGTTCCCTAATTTTGTCCTATTTTTTGATAACTATTTTAGTTATTCTAGATCTTTTCATTTCCATACAAATATTAGAATCAACATATAAATTTCTTGTTAAAAAGTCTCCTGGGATTTTTTTAGGAGTGGGAGGGATTGCATTAAATCTATAAATCAACTTGGGAAAAAAATTCAATTTTAACAATATTGATTCTTCAGTTCAATGGAGATGATATATCTCTATTTATGTTTTCTTTAATATATTTTAGCCAGGCTTTACAATTTTCAATGTACCCATACTTTAAAAACCTGCTGTATATCAAATGCATTTCTAAGATAACTATATCGGCTATAGTTTTTTAGTTGTCAAACAAATGAAATAATTATATTTTCTGTCTTTTAGGTAGCAAACTTACTGTGAAATCCTGAGTCATAGGGGCTGAATATACCAAATGTATTTCTAGGTATCACTGCTGATAAGGTTCCACTTGGAAGAGGATGTGGTATTTGAACTCATAAATGTTGGATTAATATTTATTTAATGTACACTCACTGAGTGCCTAGTATACATTAAGCATTATTTTAGATGCTGAAGTTATAGCAGTAAACTAAAACAAAATTCCTCTTTTTATGAAGTTTGAGTTTTGAACTTTTACAAGGGTGGTAAATCATTGATATGTAAAGTTGGTTATATAGCCGGGTAATAACAATTTAAAGCAAAAGGGGTGTGCAAGATCAAATAATTAAAATGTGAAACAAAAGGATACTCTGAATATAATATTTATTAATGGAGAAGAGACTTTAAAATCATGTCATATAAATATTATAAGCTTTATATAGAGTTATATATTAACATTTTTCAAAATCTGAAATAGAGAGGATGGATGACTCTAAAACATCAATTATTTCTTAATAGTAGTCTTGAGGGAAAACATTGTTAGTGTATTAATTTAAAACCTATCCAGCAATATTAGTCATTAAAATGTTCACAATTATACAGACCTGACGTTTAAACATGTGGAATTAAATGTACTGGAAATTATAAAGTGATTCACCCAGGGTTCAGCCTTAGATTTTAAAAGTATGTCATCATAATTCAACTAATATTATTTTGTTAGAGTTATATCTAATTTATCCTGAACCACTAAATATGTAATTAATGAGAGTGAGAGTGTTTCTGGCTATGGTGGTTTGTAATAAAATGTGCTAGAAAATATAAAACTGAATAGCATATTTGACATTAGAACTAGGGAAAAGCAGCAGAATACTGGTTTCGTCATACTATCCTTAATATCAGAAATTTTCAGGAGGGAAACCCTAATGTTGCTAAAATTATCTACCTAAAATTAGTTCTCCATTCATAATTTTCAACATAGATTTAATATTTTATAAGTGATGCTTTGAAATTCATTTAGGAATATGAACTATTTTTAATGAATATGCATTACTTAGTATATGTAATTTGCTAATTCCATTACATAAATTATTTCATCTAATCCTATTAGTAACCTTATAAGGTAGGTACTACCATCACTCCATTTCATAGATAGGAAACTAAAGTTTAGGGAGGCTAATATATATTCATGGTTTCACAGCAAGTGAGAGAGAGAGAGAGAGAGAGAGAGAGAGAGCGCGCATGCGCACGCTAGTATTTGGACTCAGGCACAATTAGCTTTAAAGCTCCTGTTCTTCAACACTGCACAACTCTAATCAACAATTAGTCTGTTGCATAGTGAATTAACAATAGTAGAGGCTATGTAATTTGTTCCTTTAAAAATGAACGTCTCATAAGTAAGCCCTAAAATGTATATCTTTACCAGTAGCTTTGCTAAAGGAGTTGAAGGAAATAATATAGAATGTCACACAGAATGTAGTTGGCTGGTTATCTTAACTGCTTCTCTTAAAGATCTAGGAATTACTTTCATGTTGTTATCCATTTAGAAGGGAATACTTCTGAGTATCTCTTATGGAACTGAGTTTTAATATTTTTGGTTAATTTATAAAATACAGAACTATGAGTTCAAGTTAGTTGTAAAAACACAAGGATAAAATGAAGCTGACAAATCTCCGTATAATTGTTGCTACTGTACTTGCAGAAAAATAATGCTATCAGTGCTTTGCATGAGAAAAATAAAATTAAGAATATATAAATATACTGCTTTAAGGAAGTTAAATGATAAACACAACATTAAAACACAATAAAAGTAAAGACATATAATTAAAAGCTTGAGGTCAAATTAATAGGAAATTTAGAAGAAATTTTATTTAGCCTTAAAATAATACCGTGTAGGCTGAGCACGGTGGCTCACGCCTGTAATCCCAGCACTTTGGGAGGCCGAGGCAAGGAGATAACGAGGTCAGGAGTTCAAGACCAGCCTGGCCAACGTGGTGAAACCCCGTCACTACTAAAAATACAAAAATTAGCCCGGTGTGGTGACAAGCGCCTGTAATTCCAGCTACTCGGGAGGCTGAGGCAGGAGAATCGCTTGAAACCAAAAGGCGGAGGTTGCAGTGAGCCGAGATCAGGCCATTGTACTCCAGCCTGGGCAACAAGAGCGAAACTCCATCTCTAATAATAATAATAATAATAATGTGGAAAGGTTTATTAATATAAAAAACAGAAATATTGGTTTGAAAATTATTACATCTGGGAATAATGAAAGTGCTTGTTTCTGTTTTGTTGAGAATACAAAAAATGAAATTAAATGAATACGAAGAATGAAAGTGCTTGTTGCCATTTTGTTAAATAGAAATGTTTTTAAATTTGAGGGAAACGATTGATGAAAAATGGGGAAATGTGTCAAAGTTTAGATTCAATGTAATATATTCAGGGAAGGATCTTATGAATACTTTTATTGCTCAAACAAGATTTATATAGGGCTGGAATAGACTAGTGCAGATCCATCAAGAGTACATTATCAGTAGAGGATACTTTTGAACACGGCATAGATTAGGAAAGGACACGCAGAAAGTTAAAGAAGAAGATATTCAGATGAATAACAGGAGAGGAGATTTATGTGGTAACTTCCATATAAAGTGGAAGTTGTGACTTTGAAGTGCCTTTAAAAACAGAAAGATAGCAAGTCATTTGTTTTTCATATTCATTTAAAGTAACAGAATCAAAAGCCTGGGATTAGGAAATAGTGGAGGAGTGAGCTACTGTTCCATGTACGCAGGGAGGATGAGTGCAAAGGGAGGTAGGTGCAGATTTATGCATAATGCATCATCAGTGCTCCATGCTAGACTGCTGAACTACACTTGCTAATTAACTAGACATGGAGTTTTAGAGGCCAAGGTAAACATGGATATTTTGCATATCTGTGTCCTGAACAATAGAAAACCAACACAGTCTCAGCAAGATAGAAGACTAAATCAGTTTCTTGGAGCTCATGGAAGAAATTAGTATAACCATTTTCTTCTAGTTGTGATGAGTCCAACATTTGGCTTGGAAAGACACTTAAGCTGTATCCATTTACTTTTGATACTGAGATCTCATCCAGACAAAGTATCTGTCTGGAAGGCAGCAGTATAGCTGGCAGAAGTTTGGAGTTCTCAGTAGCAGTGAGGGAGCCCATCTGTAGGTCAGAGTCCATGGTGATTTTATGATGAAATAATTTAATCAGAACAATTCAAAATTCATTTCAAATCTGAAGTGTAGTAGCTGGGGATTTAGGTTTACATACCGAAGAAATAGAAGCTTTTTTTGTAAAACAAATTATTTTATTCTGGTAAGAGCACAACCTGAGATCTACCTTCTTAACAAATTTTAAGTGTACAATATAGTATTGTTTAAGTATAATCTCGTAGAGCAGATCTCTTGCTTAACTTAAACTTTACGCTTCTTGATCAGTAGGTCCCCATTCCCCTTCCACCTGTGCTCCAGCAGCCACTCTTTGATTCTCTGAATTTGAATATTTTAGATACCTCCTTTGTCTTTCTATGACTGGCTTATTTCATTTAGGATAATATCCTCAAGGTTCATGCATGTCATCACATACTGCAGTATTTCCTTGTTTTTAAGGCTGAATAATATTCCATTGCATGTATATACCACATTTTCTTTATTCATCTGTCAAAGGACATTTAGGTTGTTTTTACATCTTGGCTATTGTGAATAGTGCTTCAGTGACCGTGGGAGTGCTAATATCTCTTTGAGATTCTGATTTGAATTTCACTGGATACTTAGAATTGAGATTGCTGGAAACTTCTTTTCTAAAGTTGAATGACTATTTTGAGCACCCTTTCTCAGAGCCCTTTGCCAATTCCTGTGTAGTGCAAAACTCCAGCAGGTAAACCCCACATATAGACATTGTTATGAAAAGTGTCTCCCAGAGCTGCACAATACCCTGTCATTCAGTCAGGATGAAAACAAAACAACAAACCAAAACAAATCTCAGCCACTCTAACTCTACACCCCTTTCCCTCTAAGGCTGTCTCTAAATGCTAGGGAATGGCAGGGGACAGCCATCTAATTTTTTTTGTGGTTTTTTGTTTGTTTGTTTTTTTTTTTTTTTGGAGATGGAGTCTCGCTCTGTCACCGAGGCTGGAATGCAGTGGCGTGATCTCGACTCACTGCAACCTCCACCTCCCAGGTTCAAGCAATTCTGCCTCAGCCTTCTGAGTAGCTGAGACTACAGGTGCACACTGCCATGCCTGGCTCATTTTTTGTATATTAGTAGAGGCGGGGTTTCACCATGTTGCCTGGGCTGGTCTCGAACCCCTGAGCTCAGGCAATCCACCCGCCTTGCCCTCCCAAAGTGCTGGGATTACAGGCGTGAGTCACTGAGCCCGGCTGGACTCATCTGATTTTTTAATGTAGTTTGCTCATGCTCACATCTCTGAAATATTATCTGATGGTTCTTTGCTCAATGATCCTTGCAAGTCTGGCATGTGATAAATACTGTGAGGGGAGCTGTGTAAGACCCCCTGCTGGAGGCAGGAATGGAATTAGAGCCCATAACTGGTTGATAAACTTTTCTCATATTAGGCCTCTCAAGGTTTTTTTCCTAAAGGTTTTACCTTTACATGACTAGTCACATTTTTTTAAGTTTATTTATTTATTTATATATTTATTTTTGTACTCTGGCAGTAGCATTTGGCAGCACCTGCTGGTAAATTAAGTGGTAGTTGACAGTGTGACACCTGAAGTACTCATCTTTTATGTTAATCTTTTCCTGGTTCAATAATGTTATAATTTTATAAAATTGTGCTATAATCTAGTGTTCACTCTGAGCTGAAGCTTAATGTAGAAATAACTGATTTTGAGCTCATACATTGTTTAAAACCATAATTATAATTATTATTTAGTAGTATTGCATTTCTGTTTGTTCTGTTAATCTGTACTCCTATCTACCTACTTACCTATTTCTATGCAATTAAAATTTCTACTTGAATTTATTTTTTTCTGTATTATAACCTAAGAACAATATTAAAGGGTGACAATCTCCACTTCTGTAACTTGCTGGTAAGTAACTATCACCTTGGGCAAGTCATTTAACCTTTCTGGATCTCATTTCCTTATCTAAAAAATTATGTTGAAGCAAATAATTTCTAAAAATTCTCTTAAAATGTGTGATTCTGAGAATTTATGATTCTAAGGTATCAAAAGCCACCACCCATTAATATGTTATACTTGGATATAGACAATTATTAGTACACAGAAAATTGCTCAGTTACCGGCCCCAAAGAACTTGTATTCCACTGGGAAGGGTATGGTCATCATACTTGAAAGCATCGTAGTAACTACAGTATTATGTGGGGACAGAAAAAGTGACTAAATCAAGTACCTCTTGCTCAGCAGCCCAAATCAGAACTCCAATAAATGACAGCAAAGTTGAAATAGGCAGCTTGGTTTGGGGGTAGGATCTGTATTCCAGTGCTAAATAAAAAGCAACAACAAAATTAAAATGAAAACTGTAAAATTTATAAAGAAGAATGTAAGGAATCTTAGGAAATGATTTTGTAGAAATAGGAGAGCAACTAAGTCTTATAGGGGCCTATGTCAGTGCTAAGGAATTTGTTAAAACAACTAAAAGCTGGGAGTCATTGAAATGTTTTAGTGAAGAGAGTGACCTAGATCCAAGTTTTAGGCTAACTGTACTGGTGGTGGTGAGGATGCCTCTGAGAAGGCAAGACCAGTCACAGCAAAGGGAGGAGACAGATTTTGTCTGTGGCAGTAGAGAGGGAGGATCATGAGGAGATCTAACTGTGAGCAGCTGGAAAGAGGATATCTGGGACTCCATGGGGGAAAAGCAAGCAAGACATTCTGAAATTCTTTAGGTCTGATTTCCTCATCTCCTCAACCAGATCATACCCAACTTGAGATGGGGGCCATGATGTCTATTTCTTTTTTATCCTCTATTAACTTCTAGTAGATGCTGACTTCATAGTTAGTGCTTAGTAAACATTTTTCATTTATTTTGACCAATTACACCAAAATAAGACAGTCCATTTTGTGTTGCCGTAAAAGAATATCTGAGACTAGGTAATTTATAAAGGAAAGAGGCTTATATGTAGCCCATGATTTGAAGGCTGAGAAGCTCAAGGGCATGTCCCCAGCTTCTGGTGAGCTCTTTCATGCTGCTCATATGATGGAGAAGGTGAAAGGGGAATTGGAGGTACAGGAAGAGATGGAAACCTGAGGGATGTCCTGGCTTTATAACACCCCACTGCCTCGAAAACGAATCCAGTCTCACAAAAGTGAGAACTCACTACTGTGAAAACAGCACCAAGCCATGCATGAGGGATGCACCCTATAACCCAAACACCTCCCACCAGGCTCCATCTCCCAACACCACCACAATTGGGGATCAAATTTCAACATGAGTTTTGGTGGGGACAAATAAACCATAGAAGCAATATTCTGACCTGCTGATGTTTTGTATGCCTGTGTTCTGCCAATGTATTCTGGAGGGTTCCTGACACAGTGTCAGCAATTACTGGGGGCTTTTTGAAATCCAGCCCTCTTTATTATATCAATAAAACTGACTTGATAATAGCTATTGATGTCAATAAAGTTTAAATGTTTTACCACAGTCATTATGTCATTGGGATGCTAATTGACATTAATACCAGACCCAATTTATGACTAATTTTTATTGCTATTTTATGAACTCCACATAGGCAAGGAAAGGCCTGTTCTCCACAAAGGCAAAAAAAAAAAAAATACTGCACATAACTTTTCTGTTCCCTCTATATCAGTATGAAAAATAATAGTTACATCTATTCACAGTTGTTCAAAGTTGACATTTCATTGTAAATGTATGAAACTGTGACAGAAATTTTTATATACATAGTATCTCTGATCCACTGACATAGACCAATGCAATAGTTCCCAAACTCACAGGCCCATTAAAGTAGTAAAGTTCATGAAATAGTCTCATTAGTTCAGAAAGTCTAATAAATAGGATTGATATATTTACTCAAAATAATGCAACAGTGTCTATTGAGCCATATTTCTTGTTTGGGCTAAAATTATGCATCAATGCAATATGGTGGCATTCTTTATCTCATGTTTATTTTTGATGAACAGTTTATACACACGCAGACACATACGCAAATAGAACACTGTTATTTACTATATGCCATTTGGTAATCAAATCCTTGAAAACAGGAAATCCAAGGCACATAAATAGTAAAAAGAATCCTTGGAAGTAAACAAAAATTAGAATTTCAGACACACATAGCATAATTCAGTCTCTATGAATTCATGCCTAATCAGAAAATAAGAAGATGCAGAATATTTATCAATAAATACTTTGTAAGCATCACTATGTTCATGCACTGTTTTGGAGCTCATGATACATCAGCAGAATGGAAGCAAATCCTTCTGGTGGTGCTTACATTCTAGTGAGAATGATATACAATACTGACAAAGGCAATTTATTGGATTGTGCTGGATATGGGAGTTGAGAAATATTGATGATCTGAGGAGGAGGCGGTATCTCAATGATCATATTTAAAAAGGCTATAGAAATTGGAGCACATTAGAGATTCTAGGTGGGTGTCATGGGTGCCAGGTTTCCTAATTTAGTAATTTTCTGCAAAGCCAGTTTCCTTTTCTATCAATATATATTTTTTGACATGAAGACTCTTTGCAAGGCAGGGCATTTCTCATTTCCAAAGAACTATATCATTTCTCTGGTGAATGAGGTTATTTTGTGGGTGGCCTATTTTATGTCTCTTCTCTTCCACCTAAGTGTAATTGTACTGTGTGCTATTTATTGATTAGTTGTACTGTGAAAGGGACAGAAACTATTACATATTGATAACCTGTGTGGGGGTTTATTCATTAAGCTATAGGCTCTTGATTCTTTTAGGAACAAATATCAAGCAAAAGTTCCTTTGGAAATTTTGTCTCTAGAATCTACTCCTTTCAAAGAAAACAAAGACACAATCTGTAGGCAATTTATGGCTCCTTCATAAAAGCACTACAGCATCTAAACTCCCATAGCATCTGGCAGCTGGCTGCATTTTATTTTATTTGGACGAGTAACAATATATTTTAAAACTTAATACCATTTAAATGCTTATAAAGGTGCTGGAATATTTGTTAGAGAGTGGTCACAGTATTATATATTTTTAAAAATCAGGGTTATATTGAAAGATGATCTTGATAATGCTATCTAAAAAATGCATTTTATAGAGAAATTTGACCAGCATGATTCAGATTGCATGTCTACATGAAATAAATTTATCATCCTCTTATTAAATTATCCTCACTCATTACCTCCATAGACATAACTTTAAAGCAAATGGGGCTAATTGCATGCATAGGGCATTAATATTTAATCGCCCTAGTATTTCATTATCTAAGGATGTTTATGTATCTTTTTGTGCTTTTAGAATTTCTTTCAGAAAACCACTAATATAAAGAGGAAGCATTACAAAGTATTATACATTATTAACATTTGAGTTTGGACATGATCAAAAATAGGCTGAAACTATTTAGATAGCTCTGTGATATTCCATTGTTCATTAGTGTGCATGTAGTTAACTTTGAGTGCTTTTTACATGCAAATGTTTCACGCATGTAATAGGTTCAATAATTTTCAACAGACTGTGGAAGCATGGTTTAATTATAAAACAATTTAATTCAAAAATTGAAATGGCTGAAAGAGATAGGAGATGTCTTAGCCTACTTAGCTCAGTGAGTAATTCATGTCATAGGTGGAGCAAAATGTATTCCTTATTTTCCCAGAGGGCTGGGGTTATGAAACTGCTCTGGCTAGACTTCTCTCCCACCAGTGGTTTTAGGAGACCAGATTATACTTTTAGGGTTCTTTGCAGGAAGGCTGAGGAAAGAACCAAAGCAATGATGGAATGCCTTGAGACCTGTGACCCAATGCCTCTTCTGTAATATCTGAGTCTTTAGTAAACTTCATTAAAGTGACAAGATGCTTGACTTACAATTTTTTCTGGAGATAACTGTTGCTGAAACCAGATGGCAAGAGCAGAGACAATGAAAGATTGGTGAAGTAACCATGCGTGAATAGAAAGTAGAAGCCCCAGGTTGTGATAGTACAATTTGGATTAAGTTCAACAGTAGTTGGCTTCACTTTACAGGGCTTCTGTTATATTGAGCAGCAACCACTTTTATTCTTCCTACCTATGGCTCTCTTCTCACCTCTGTAACTTAAGTTTATCATTTATTTTCAATTCTCATCAGTTATTCTGCTTTCATAAAAGTGAGACTTCCAGCAGATATCCAAAATTAAATTTCTTGTTGCTATTCTATGATGATTCTGTGCTGATTTTTCATTTAACAAAACTGAGCGCATCTCTTCTATTTCACCATTTTGTAGCACGTTCATTAATAATTACTCTAATAATAAACTTCACATTTTGCCATCATTCTACTTTGACTTAGTAAGAAGTGTAACATTCTGCCTCTTTACCAACAATGCAGCCATAAAAAAGAGCATCAACATGAGATAACTTATCCACGTACACACCAATGCACATCTTTGCTAGGTGAGTTTCTCCCTCTAATATGAAAAAAGTAAAGAGAAAGAAAAGCCTAAGGATGTAATTAACGTCAATTTTGCATGTCTTATCTATAATTAAATTTTTTTTAAATCTGTTAATGTGTGCAAAGTTAAGAGAGTAGATTTGTAGCACTTTGAAGAATATGTCCAACGGCTTTGGGTTTAGAAGACAGTAGCATAATCAGAAACTTGCCAGGTTCTATTTAATCTCAGGGCCTGCGAATCTAGCCAGGCATATTTAGCTCACTTTTCCGGATCGCTATAGACAGGCACACAATAGAAGGGCAAGAATGGTTCTGGTGTCCATCAGTACATGGTACATTACACTCTCAGGAAGTCCGTACCTATTTTCCTCATTTTTTTTTTTAAGAGGGTAATTTCTCTTTCCATTTAAAGTCTCTTCTGTCAGCATTTATTCTTGCAAGAAATACCATCTTTAATGATTCTGTGGTCAATTCCTGTTTCTGCCTATAGGGTGATATGAGTAGTAATTTCTCTCACTAACAAGTTGTCTTTCTTAACTAGGGTTTCAATGACAAATTACCATAGAATGGGTGGCTTAAACACCAGACATTTATTTCTCACAGTTTTGGAGACTAGGAAGCCCAAGATCAATGCATCAGCAGACTCAGTCTGTTGAGCGCCGTCTTCCTGGTTTATAGACAGCCACCTTCTTGATGTATCTTCACATGGTGGAGAGAAAGAGCTCTTATCTCTTTACGTTCTTACAAGGGCGTTAATCCCATCATGGGTAACTCCATCCTCATGACCTCATCTGAACTTAATTACCCTCCACAGGCTCCATCTCACAATAACAAAACAAGTTTTATCTTCATAGGGTACTCTGCTACATTTAATACTGCCATTTAATCACATTGAATATGTCTAATTAAATGGATATAAAGAGATAAAAGACAGATTGAGTTAAAGAGACCAGTGCTCTCGGATTATGTGGTACTTGGCCAAAATTAAATTCTGGTTTCATCTTTGGCTACACAGCCCTTTTTGGGTTTTCTGGGCTGCTTCTCCTTTGTTATCTTGAATAACCGAGGTCCCCAGTCTTGAGTTTAAAAAAGGATACTTTTTAATGCCTAAGGGCTTTGAGGCCAAATACATTTGTTTTGGTGAGAAACATTTCTGGGAGGATCTGGGAGGAATGTGGCAGCAAAGAGCAAATACTAATTTGGGGCATAGCCAGCTCAGAAAAAGGGAAGGAGCAGAGATGAGGAAATCCTGGAGCATTTGAGGAATCCAGAGGCCAAATTCCTAAACTGGATATCAGCAGAAATGAACCTGATTACTTTAGGAGTCTTGATCTCCCTGCTCTCTCTCTCCTTCCCTTTTTTCCTTTCTCCCTCTCTTCCAGCCATCTCTCATAGACCTACTTCAAATATTTATTGAGCAATGCTTTGATGCTGGACTTTAAGTCATGGGCATACAAGGTGACACTGACCTTGAGGAATGAACTCATATCTGTGATAAAAATCATGAGGGGTGAGTACAGAGTGCTTGAAAGGCATGTGAAAAAGGGCACACCTCAAGATTAGGAGCCAGTAAAACCTGAGACAGAGGGACAGAACATGGTTTTAGGGTGGTTTTAAGTGGTTCGTGAAACAGTCAATATAACTAGAATCCAGATTAATTGGTTGTATGTGTCAGGAAGTGGCGGAGGAGGAGCAGTGCAATGAAGGGGTACATTACAGGGTATGGCTTAGAGACCCAAAGTTGAGAAATAATTAGGGACCAGTCATAAAGCTCTTTTAAAATATAATAATTTGGACATTATCTTGAGGACATTAGGGACCTGCTGAAGAGTTTTAATCAAGAAATGACATGATTAGATTTGGGTTTTCAAAAGATCACTTTGGCTGCCACATAGAGAAAGGATCGGGAGGAAATGAAATTTATCTATTATTCATTAAGGTATTGAAATTCGTTGGAAAGCATTTTCACAGACAAGCCATCTCTTCATTTACCCAACAGATTTAAAAGAGAGATTTAAACCTTTTGTTTTATGACTTAGAAAAGCCATGTTTAAAACAAATAAAAATGAAAGAAAAAAGCAGCCATGTTTGTGCATGTATGATGCTTACTTTTCAGATTTGAAAAGTAGTTTTCTAACACTTTTTCCCCACAGATCTCCAGGTACATGTACTTTCTATCACTAAAGCAACATTATAATTCTGTACAGATTTTTTTTTAAAGAAAAGCAACAGTAACAAAAAACAGAAAAAACAAAAACCCACTGAAAAAACCATTAAGAATAACCGACATGGCCCTTTGCTCAATGTTGTCTGAAATGAAAATGTGTCCTTATGAAGGCTTGTGAAAGTTATTTCCCAAGGCTTGAGTGATACCTCTTATTTTAGAGTCATCCTTAGTTGATGAAGACCAAACGCCAGTCTGTCTAACACTGAACTCTGAGCCACAGCAGAGAGCTCTCCAACTGATAATGGTGATTTGGTCTTTATCATAGGGCCATTACTTCTTGCTTCAAGGTCTTTATGAACAGTAGAGTGGTAAGAGCAACCACAAGGGATTGACATTATGAGTTTTCAATTTGGAACTTTTCTCTTCCCAAGACAAGTCACAGAGATGGCATTTGGCTCTGCTTCCTCAGGGAACTGTTCACAGCACAGAATTATCACACAATTTAACACAGCTGGCAGTCTGGGCTCAAGAGGAAACAGAAAGATTGGAAAGGATAAACAGCAGGTAGGTCGAACATAGGCTAAGAAAGGGACGTGGAGGATAAAGAATCTCATTATAAGTTTAGAGATATTTTAAATATCTAGAGGTTTCTTTTCACACTCAGACAAATTCTGTTAAAAATGCAAAGTAGTATTTGATTATTAATCTTCCTATGACCGTATTTAATGTGGGCTTCTAAAAGCTTTTCTAACTTACTACTTCTTTTCATTTTTACATTTTCTTGGAGATTAATAGTAGAATATATGACTGTCATTTGGCACCTGAGGAAACTGAGGTGCAGGAATATCAAGTAGCTTACCAAAGGTCAAATAATTAACAACAGGGCAAGGATAAGACTCCAGTTCTATTTTCTAATCCTAGCCTATTTTTACTTAGTGGTGGTCAAAGCATATTTGGATGTATTCATTAAGTTCTGCAAAGAATAAAAACGAAGAATCAGTCCATAATGTCTGCGGTTTGATTATTTAAGCATCACTCCCAATCACCTTTCTGAAGAGTGAGCAAGTATTAGTAAAGGTGAAGAAAATAATAGAATAAGAAAAGATTTGATTGAAGAGTCTTATTATCAGCATCTTTTCTTGATTTTCTCCCTGTCACCACTCCTATTTATTTCTTTGCTTTAAGAAGTGAAGAGAGAAGATTGAAAATAATAGACATGGAAATCTCAGAAACATTTATTTATTTTTTATTTTTGTGGGTACATAGTAGGTGTATATATTTATGGATTACGTGACATATTTTGATACAACATGCTGTGTGTAATTATCATATCATGAAAAATGGGGTATCCATCCCCTCAAGCATTTATCCTTTGTGTTATAAACAATTCAATTATATTGTTTTAGTTAGCTTAAAATGTGCAATTAAGTTATTTTGACTACAGTCACCCTCTTATGCTATCAAGTACTAGGTACTATTCATTCTTTCTAACTATTTTATATACCCATTAACCATACCCATCTCCCCCAAACCCTCCACTACCTTTCCAAGCCTCTGATAACCATCCTTCTACTCTCTACCTCCATGTGTTCAATTGTTTTGAGTTTTACATCCCAGAGATAAGTGAGAATATGCGATGTCTGTCTTTCTGTGACTGGCTTATTTCACTTAACTTAATGACCTCCAGTTCCATCCACATTGTTGCAGATCACAGGATATAATTATTTTTTATGGCTGAATGGTACTCCATTGTGTATAAGTACCATATTTTCCTTATCCATTTATCTGTTGGTAAGCACTTAGGTTGCTTCTGAATATTGGCTATTGTGAACAGTGCTGCAATAAACATGGGAATGCAGATATCTCTTTGTTATACTGATTTCCCTTCTTTTTGGTATATACCCAGCAGTGGGAGTGCTGTATCATATGGTAGCTCTATTTTTTTTTTTTTTTTTTTTTTTTTTTTTTTTTTTTTTTGGTTGAGACAGAATCTTGCTCAGTTGCCCAGGCTGGAGTGCAGTGGTACGATCTCGGCTCACTGCAACCTCTGCCTCCCAGGCCCAAACCATTCTGCCTCAGCCTCCCAAGTAGCTAGGATTACAGATGCCTGCCACCACGCCTGGCTAATTTTTGTATTTTTAGTAGAAATGGAGTTTCACCATGTTGGCGAGGCTGATCTTGAACTCCTGACCTCAAGTGATCTGCCCGCTTCGGCCTCCCGAAGTGCTGGGATTACAGGCGTGAGCCACTGCACCCCGCTGGTAGCTGTATTTTTAGTTTTTAAGAAGCTTCCAAACTGTTCTCCATAGTGGTTGTACTAATTTGCATTCTCATCAACAGTGCATGAGGATTCCCTTTTTGTCACATCCTCGTCAGCATTTGCTATTGCCTGTCTTTTGGATAAAAGCCATTTTCCTGTGGTGAGATGATATCTCACTGTAGTTGTCATTTGCATTTCTCTGATGATCAATATGTTGAATACTTTTTCATAAAAATGCCTGTTTGCCATTTGTATGTTTCCTTTTGAGAAATGTGTATTCAAATATTTGCCCATTTTTTGTCTCAATTATTAGATTTTTCCTATAGAGTTGTTTGAATTTTTTACATAGTTTGGTTATTAATCACCTGTCAGATAGTTAGTTTGTAAATATGTTCCACAATTCTGCAGTTGTCGGCTTACTTGGTTGACTGTTGCCTTAGCTGAGTAGAAATTTTTAATTTGATGTGATCCTATTTGCCCTTTTTTGCCTTGGTTGCCTGTGCTTGAGTATTACTGAAGAAATTTTTGCCCAAACTAATGTCCTTGAGAGTTTCCCTAATGTTTTCTTTAGTAGTGATAAATTTATTTAAACTAAATATGAGAGTATCAATGTGTTCACAGCATTGTGGTAGACTCTAAAGAGGGGAAACAGAGTTAGGTTTACCGGACTGCTTGCATCAGTGAATTTCACTGAGTTCCCATAGTACATATGGGAACTACTGGGAGGATTCAAGAAAAAAAGTAAAACCATCAGACAAAATTCTCTCATTACAGAAGGTTGCCATCTAAGTAGGGAAACACACTGTATACATTTGAAATAGCTAAGTAACAGCATAGGATAATATGTGATAGGTGTAAAAATGAGTGAGTTTGGTTACATTTCATTTTGCTAAAAGTATTTTAAAAATCCCTTCAAACTATGAAGCAAAAAGGGAATTAGAAGGACATCAGAGTATCCTTGCCCAAGGCAGGATATGCCACTAAACATCGTAAGAGACTGAAAAACTATTAGAAAACTAGTCAGCAGCTGCCTTGAAATCTCATGTCTGCTCTCTTCTGCACACCTGCTTTCTTCTTTTCTTTTTCTATAGGTCAGGATTTTATTGCTTCATCGTGCACTTATCTAAAAATGGCATTTCTATGATTCTCCACTTTATACATTTTAAATTTAAGTAATCAAGTCAGAGTGATTAGCTATCTCTGAGTCCCGATTCCAGTTATTAGGACAGAGATCCTGACTGGTTCATCACGGGACAAATTTTTACTATCTGATTCAGTTATCTGTGGCTGGGTGGCAGAGCCACATATACAAAATAAGTGCCGCTATAAATATCTAGAGGAAGGGGGAAGTTATAAAAAAAAACCAAACCCTCAATCCTAGCAGGATATTTGAAACAGTGTTTATTGGAGAAACTAGTAAAGACATTCAGAAAAAGAAAAAAGCTGTGAACCAAGATAAGTTGTTGGAAAGCCGTGGGAAACTGGTGGAGCATGAACGATGCATAACATCTGGATAGATGAAAGAAGATGGAGACAAGCGATAGTTGTAGATAGAACAAGAGAAATGGCATGAAGGTGGAGATGAGTCAGGTATGTTCAGTGAGTCTTCCTGGAGTTGAGTTCATGTTGCAGAGTTTTGAGAAAATCATCAAATGTGGTTTATGCATGGGCCCATTGGGGTGGATTTCTGGTTTATTTTTATGTTTGTAGATGTAGCTTTAGAAGTCGTCAGCATTAAAGAGCTAGCTTTTCTCAACTAACTCATGAGAAGAGATGAGCTAATTCAGGAAAATATTTTTAAAATGCGTAGGAAAGAGGACTAATGATAAAACACTGATGATCATCTATGCTTTAGGTATAGGAAATGGAAGAGAACCCTGAGGAAAAGCCTGAAAGGAATGGCTGCAGGGGTGGAAGGCAGTGGTGTCATAGAGTACAAATGAGAAGAGAATTTTGAGCAGAGAGTAGTCAACATGTCAGTCCCAGAATTAAAATAAAATAAGGCTGGTTAAGTATTCATTGGATTTAATAATTAGGAAGTGACTAGAGACTTTACATAGAAGTATGTGGATAATCTGTGGAGAAGACAAATACCTAGGTCAATGTGCAAATGGTAGGACATGGACAATGGATAAATAGACTATACCATTCAGAAGATATCCATGAGAAGGAGAGGCATGGAGACAAACCACTGGCAACTGGACATGGAGGCAAAGAACTGGGGAATGGTTTAATAGAGGGGAGAAAATTGAGCATGTTTGTTAACTGAAGAGAAAAAAATAATGGGGGGAATTTATAAAAGGATTTGAGTGTTTGGAATTTTTGGGGGTGTATTTTGGCAGAAACAGTTGGTTAAAGACTGAGAAGATGTTATTTGATTTGAAAATTAAAACCATAAAGGGTTATTCCAAATTGCTTGTTGGTTTCTCACTTTTGTTTACATGATGATGTTAAATCCACCAAACCAAGGTGTAAGTTCAGCCGTCCAAATATCGTTGAGCCATTCTTCAGAAATGAGGAATTGGAGCCACAGAAATTAAATAGTTTGCTGGAGGTTACACAGTTATTATGGCACAAGAATTCAGAGTCAGCTTCCAAAACTTTATTTCTGGTACTCATTTGGTTTCATCAAGATTTCCAATATTTGCATATCTACAGTTACAGTGGATAACTACAGTTATAATGAGAGTACAGGGCTGATTTCAAGGTCTTAGGTGAGGGGTAAAGTAGAAATTACACATTATAGACCATGTTTTGGGAAGCTTAAAAGTAAACGAAAAGCGAACTTGAGAACACAGTAGAGATGTGGCACTTTTTATGGCTTCCCACCTTGTGATGATAGTGTCATAAGAAGTACCAGTGGTGATGACAGTGTCATAAGGAGAAGTACCAGTGGTGATGACAGTGTCATAAGGAGAAGTACCAGTGGCGATGACAGTGTCATAAGGAGAAGTACCAGTGGTGATGACAGTGTCATAAGGAGAAGTACCAGTGGCGATGACAGTGTCATAAGGAGAAGTACCAGTGGTGATGCCAGTGTCATAAGGAGAAGTATCAGTGGTGATGCCAGTGTCATAAGGAGAAGTACCAGTGGTGATGACAGTGTCATAAGAAGTACCAGTGGTGATGCCAGTGTCATAAGGAGAAGTACCAGTGGTGGTGCCAGTGTCATAAGGAGAAGTACCAGTGGTGATGGTAGTGGCATAAGGAGAAGTACCAGTGGTGATGATAGTGGCATAAGGCGAAGTACCAGTGGTGGAGTTCCTGGGGATGAGGAAGAAGAAAATGGTCAAGTGCATAGTTCTGGTAAAGACAGCATAGGTGGAGGGGTCAGCTTCAGAAAAGAATAGCCATAGGTCCACCTCGGTGAGAAATGATGACAAAGAGATGAGTGAAATGGTGACATTGTGAGACAAATTGGTTAACTAGCTCTTCTATCCCTGTTTTCTCCTTTGACAATAGATAATAATATGTAAGACACAAGGCTGTTGTGAGAATAACATTAGAAACTATACATACTTATAACTACATAGATCATAGTAAGATTGAATTTTTGGTGGCTGTAACTGTCATTACAAATGCTAATAGACTAGGGACAGTGGTACTCACCTACCATTCCATCAGCTTGCTGACATTTTTATCCCCCTTGCAGGGAGCTGGGTCCACGTGACTCATTTTGGACAATGGGCTGTGAGGGAAAGTGATGTAAATTCCTTCTGGAACAAAATTGTAAAAATCTAGCGTGGGACTTTCCAGCTGTCTTTTCCTCTGACCGGCAAAAATAGAACATTCCAGATGGTAGAGACATTGTCAGCCTGCATAGAGTACAGTTCCCCTTTAAGTGCCTCCCTGACTAGCATTAGTCATATACTGTGATGAAAAACACACACTTTTCTTATGTTTCAGGGTTAATTTGCTGAGTGTGCATCACCTGGCCCATCCTATTACTACTACCACTAGGCTAATGGCAATTTCACATCTCATACATGTTGTTTCTAAGAATACATGTTAAACTAGAGCTTAGCTATAAAATATTTCTATTGAACATTTAGAATCCACTGTAAAGTTCATTGTACTTACATTCTCTTCAAGGCAATTCATAAACTATTATTTGAGCACCAGGTGCGCTTTACTGAGAGTTTACAACACAAGTTTAATAATAATAACAATAGCAAACATTTTTTGAACAATCCTTAGTCTGGATGTAGTTTAGCCTCACAAATAGATTGTGAGTTGAGTTCTACAATTAGCTTCGTTTTACAAATGAGGGAACTGAGGCTCGGGGAGGAGAGGTTAATTACTTTACTAAAAACATAGAGCTAATGAGTAGTAAAGCCAGAATTGTAAATAAGATGCTGGAATTCCTACTTTCAATCAGTACAGTATACTTTTCCCCAACTCAGTATACTTTTCTACCCTAGGGAGTTTTACAGTCTCTGGAAAGAATTCTAAAATTGTAGGCCATGGATTGGGTGCATTAGAGTTAGCCGAGAAACTTATATAAAAATAGATATTCTTGAGTACTTTCCAGACTTGCTGAATAAGAAGCTCTGTGCACAGAAATTTACAATAAAGGCTGATTCCGACAAAGGATGATTCTCACAAAGAATGTTTGTCAACCAGAGATAGCATGCTGTGGAATTCACTTGGCTCCAGAAACTTTAAAACATATTGTTCTCGGCCGGGCGTGGTGGCTCACACCTGTAATCCCAGCACTTTGGGAGGCTGACGCGGGTGGATCACCTGAGGTCAGGAGTTCAAGACCAGCCTGGCCAACATGGTGAAACCCCATCTCTGCTAAAAATATAAAAACTAGCCGGGCATGGTGGTGGATGCCTGTAATCCCAGCTACTCGGGAAGCTGAGGCAGGAGAATTGCTTGAACCTGAGAGATAGAGGTTGCAGTGAGCCGACACAGTGCCACGGCACTCCAACCATGGCAACAGAGTGAGACTCTGTCTCAAAAACAACAACAACAACAACAAAAAAACATATGGTTGTCTACACATTAAAAACAATTGTGAGTATTTTTCACTATTTCAATTATTTATCTATGTTGAGACTTTACCATTATTTCTATATCACTTTATCTAAAATTTTCATGAGTCACAATCACATAACATGGGACTGAATTGTATCTTATTTCCAGTTTATTTACTTTAGGAGATGATTATTCTCTCTCCATTGCTCAACCTGTTTGAGGAGGGTCTCAGGACATGCTGAAAATGGCTCTACTTTTCTTGTCCATGGCCAGCATTTCCTTTCAGCTTGACATCTTGTTCTGAGCCAGATGACCAGTGTTGTTATGGAATCTAATGGTGGCCTTGCCATTGGTGGTCAGCTTGCTACTTGGTTACCTTCTCCCCTACACTCTTTTTAGTACTTGTTAATGGGAACTTAGAGTCCAGTGTTATTCTTGATCCTGAAATGCATTTATTATCAGACTCTGAGTAATATGGAAACATACATTTTGGACAACCCTTAGAAAAAGATTAAGTTATTCCAGCAAACATAAATTTGTGAAAGTTTAAGCTTCTTTTTCTGTCTACCTCTCCCCTCCATCACATGCCTAGATGAGAAGCTCTGCTCATCTCTGGGATAACAGTTTTTTCTGGATTAGCCCAGAAAGGAAAACACACACACACACACACACACACACACACACACACACACAAACGTGCCGCCACCCCCCACCCCGCCCCACCACCATCACCATCACCACCACCACCACCCACCCACCAACTGGCACCTTGATTTTGAGTTATATTTGGATCACTAAAAAAAAAAAAAAAAGGAAAACACAGGAGAGCAAGCAACATCCATATAATCATTTGCCACTATGCCATTGGACATAATATGCTCTTTGAGCTCACATTCCCTGAGAATCTGATTGAGGGATCACTGGCAAGTATGAGATCTGAACGTTTAAGTGAGGTAGCTATAACAGGTTTTTTTTTTTGCTGAACTTTCATTTTACTCTTGTTAAATATTTTCAGGGACTATAACCTATAGAAAGCTATTGACACCCCTGGCTATACTCAAGATAGCTAAATGTAAAATAAAAAGTTATTTTAAGCATCCGTGTAATACTTTGAAATACACACAGGATTTTTTTCTGCTTGCTTTGCATAATTTCTGCACTCAGCAATACTATCAAAGAAAAAATGAGCTCTTTTCTTTCAGCTGTTATATGCCTGGTTTGTTAAATAAGATCCCCTAGCCTCATTAGATCAAGAAAGAAGACTCTGACCTCTTGTGGAGTCTAGGGGGAGCATTTTATTGCAAGTAGAACCATATGGCCCAAAGTACATAGGAATATATATTCTCTGATCACAGCAGCTAGGAGTGGCTTCTTCATACTCTGACTGTGACCTCCAGCATCATTATCATGTGTCTGCTATCATCTTAAAACTCTTAAATATTGCCCTATTGTATAATGTGTAATTTATTCAATATGTTTATTTAATGCACATTGTATGTCAGGCATTTATTACGTGCCTAACATTACAGAGTTAAACAAAACCCAGTGACTGCCTTTAAGGAGTATAGCCTTCTAAGGAATTGCAGAAAAGTAAATACATAATTACAGTGTAATGTGAAATAGCATTAGCAGAGATTTGTACATAGTGTTTTTAAATCTCAGATGTATTTGTATATACCTTTTCTTCCTAATTTGTAAAATTTCAGAATACATTTACTTTTTAATTTATTCACTGTATCCATTTCCGTAATAACTTGAATTTGTCTGAATGGTCTTCAGTATTTGTTTATTTTGTTTTGCTTTTGATTTTATGTTTTAATACTTCCTAAATGGAAGAGTATAACCTCTAGAATTCCTTAAGTATTATTTTTATTGAAATTAAAACAACAACAGAAGATAAACTACATCAGAAGTTTATATGTCAATGAAATATCTCAAAATGAACATGACCATGTAACCAAACCCTAGAGTGGTGTGCTGGAGATGGCTTGCATTAATTTTTGAGAGTTATTGTTAAATATTCTGGTTGTTCAACTGCTTGAAATTGAGCATGGCAGGAATATTCAAATATCGGTTCCTTTGCTTCCAGGAAGCAAGTTGCTAAACATTTATTATCATAGATTTATCTCTGCAGATTAATAAAGAGAACATCACCAGCTTCCCTGAAGCCAAGCCTGTGCCTATTTCCAGTTACTAATCACTCCATCTTCAAGTTAGCCACTAACTTGATTTCTAATACTGCAGTTTAATTTTTCTATTTTGGAATCATAAAGCAAGAGAAAAGAAAAGATTCATTGGGGTCTGAAAACTTAAGCAATTTTGGCAACTCTCTTTAAATAAATAAAAACAAAATTATAAATACAAAATTAGGTACAGAGCTTTAGATGAAATCTGAGCAAGTTAAGGGAACTTTGTTATCGTCATAGAAAATCCAACTGCATTAGGGTAAGTATTCTTTTTTTGTCTGACTTCTTTCACTTAGCTCTATAAGAGATCCATCTATGCTTTTGCATGTGGCAGACAGCATTAGTATGGGCATTTTGTTGTTTCAGTTCACCATTATGTGCTTTATTCTACTGCTGAGCGATATTGTTTTTAATTTGAGGCTCCCACCAGTAATCTTTCTTTAATGGTGCATCACATGACTTCTGGTGTGCAAATGTTGCACTGTGTTAGGAGTATACCTATGAGTGAAATTGTGGCATCACAGCCTGTTCATACGTTCAGCTTTAGTAGAAATTGCCAAATAGTTTTCCTGAGTGGTGGTACAAGTGTACAGTCCCAAAAGCAGTGTATGGGAGTTCTATTTCTACATTCTTGACAAAAGAAGGTATTGTGAGAATTAAATTTTGGCCATTTTAGGGTTTGTGTGATGACCCATTAGCTTTAGATTATTTTCAAATGAGTTTTGGCCCTTTGGATATTTTCTTCTGTGCAATTGTTTTGTGCATTGAAAAAAATTAAACTTTCTATTTTTAATGATTTATAAGAGTTCTTTTTGTATTGTGGATATAAGTTCTTTGAGGGGTATATCCAGTGCAAATATTTTCTCTATTTATTACTTTGGGTTTTTTCTCTTAAAGGTTTTTTTTTTTTTTTTTTTTTTTAGCAATGCAAAGTTCTTAATTTTGTAGAAATGAAATTAAACATTTTAATAGCTAGTGCATTATGCATTCTGTTTCTGAAAAATTTATCTACCCAAGATCATTAAAGATATTCCCCTATGTTATTTTCTAAAAGCTTTATGTTTTACCTTTCAATTACTGAAAAACACCTATCACTATTACGGAAGATTTTTCTATATCTCTTTTAGTTCTGTCAAGTTTTGCTTTATATAATTTGAACCCATCATTCATTTCAGATAAATTTAGACTTATATTCCTGGTGAATTGATATGTTCCTTCATCTTCAGTGATGTGTCTTGCCACAAACACTGTATTTGTATGTTTACAATAATTTCCTTTTATTTAGGATTCGCATCGTAAACTTTTCCCTTCCTTGTACTTTCAATCTATTTTCATCCTTATGTTTAAGGTGTATCTGTTGTGTCTACTGTTGTCGTTTTTTAATCCAGTCTGACAAGTTTTGTCATTTAATAAGAGTATTTAATTCATTTACATTTAATAAAGCTACTTATGTAACTGGACTTAAATCTACTACCTTCCAAGTTGATTTATGTTTCTCCATAAACATAAACACAGAACACAGAACATGTTCTGTGTTCCTTTTTCTATGGTTTCTTATTGTATAGATTATTTAAAATAGTTTACATTTTCCCCTATTGCTTGTTAGTTATGCATGTGTATATTTTTGTATTACAAGAAAAAAAGGTTTGTTTTTCCTTTGTATGCTGAAAGAGATTGCATAGAATTGGAATTATTTGTTGCTATGTGTATGATAGAATTCACCAATGCGGCATCTGTCCCTGAAGGTTTGGTGGTGGTGGTGGTGTCTGGGGAAGTTAATTATGAATTTGATTTCTTTAGCTATTGTACTACTGTTACTTCTTCAGTTAGTTTTGGTCATTTTTTGTGCCTTTCAAAAGTTGACTACTTCATTAAGTTTTGACTTTATTGCCATAAAAATTTCATAATATTATAATTTTAATGCATATAGGATTGTTTGTGATTTTCTCTCTTCAATTCTTAACATAGGTAGTTTTTGCCTTTCTTTTTCCTTGAATAGTCTAGCTTGAGGTTATGTATGAGTTTTTGGTTTTATTGTTGTTCTCCATTGTTTTTCTCTTCTCTATTTCACTGATTTTTGCTCTGTTCATTCCTCCTACTTACTTTTTGCTTTTTTCTTGCTTTTAAGGTGGAACTTCAGATGATCAATTTTAGGTCTTTATTATTTTAAAGTTATAATTCTTTTACATTTATTGAGAATTGTTTTATGCACCAGCACAGGCCTATCTTGGAGAGTGTTTGATGTGCACTTAGAAAAATAATGTGTATTCTCCAACTGAGTTGAGTATACTAAAATGTTAATTAGATTCATACTTATTTTGTTCCAACTCATTCTATGAATTACTGAGGACGGAGTCTTGAAATTTCTAGCTCTAATTGTTGGATTTGTTATATCTCTATATGTCTGTTAGTTTTTGTTTCTTGTATTTTAAAGCTCTAATTTTAGGTACATAAACATTTACGTATTTTTATTTCTTCTTGAAGAGTTGGCTCTTTTAAATAGTTAATGATAATAGCTATTATCATTTTTCATGGTAGTTATGTTCCAAAATGTCACTGAGAACATTGAATTAGTGAATACTGATCCTAGGGAAAATATGTACATACTTATATAGATTATTATCTTAAATTCTACTACAATGCATCTTCATAGATTCTATTTTATTTGATCTACAAAAGAGAAAATTAGATTCAGAAGTGTTAAGTAAGTAGCTTGCCTGAGGCTGTCCCACTAACAGGTTACCAGAGTGGGGATCTACATATTAACTGTCCTCAGAGCCAAAGCTTCTTAACACTACGCTGCACTGCCTCACACAGTCTCCATCTTCTGGTCATCTCGGTAGGAGAGCTAAAGCAAGAAGGCAGAGTATTGCCTTGCTCAACTTCAGTTAGGAACATGAATGTTGGAAGACTAAAATTTTTTGCTGCCGTGTGCAGGTCCATGGATAAGTCTGAAAGTTTGGGGGCCGGGTGCGGTGGCTCACGCCTGTAATCCCAGCACTTTGGGAAGCCGAGGCGGGCAGATCACCTGAGATCAGGAGTTTGAGACCAGCCTGCCCAACGTGGAGAAACCCTATCTCTACTAAAAACACAAAAAATTAGCCAGGCATGGTGGCAGGCGTCTGTAATCCCAGCTACTCAGGAGGCTGGGGCAGGAGAATTGCTGGAACTCGGGAGGCGGAGGTTGCGGTGAGCTGAGATCGCACCACTGCACTCCAGCCTGGGCAACAAGAGTGAAACTCTGTCTCAAAAAAAAAAAAAGTATTAGAAATATTGATATTGGGATTACAAAGAAATTTTAGTGAGTAGGCGAATTTAAAAATATGG
This sequence comes from Homo sapiens, assembly GCF_000001405.40. NCBI lineage: Eukaryota > Metazoa > Chordata > Mammalia > Primates > Hominidae > Homo > Homo sapiens. The sequence goes on along the minus strand of NC_000002.12, from coordinate 53,014,788 downwards.
AATTCACAAATAGGATCAACGATACTTCCTTATTCCTGGTAAGTTATATTCTTTGTTCTGAAGTCCATTTTACTGGTAGTAAAATAGCCACTTTACTTATGATTAACATGTTTGCATGGTTCATCTTTTTCCATCTTTTCACACGTAATTTATCTGTCTGTATGTTTTGTAAGAAGTTGCTTTTAGATAGCATACAGTTGGGTCTTAATTTTTGATAAAGTCTGATAACTGTATCCCATTAATGTTTTATCCATTTATGTTTAATGTAAGTACCATTATAGTGTAAGTCTACCATGTGGCTACTTGTTTCCTATTTGTTGAATCTGTACTTTATTCATTCCTTTTTTGCTGTTTTCCTTTTCTTTGCAGTAAGTGATTTTTAGTATTACATTTTATTCTCACTTGTTTCTTATTGCTATACCTCTTTGTTTTATTTCTTTTGCTTTGGCTCTTGGGCAGAGAATCTTGTGGTTCTTTGAGCCATGTTAAGGAATCTGTGAGGTCAAAGCTATTTTCACAGTAATACTATGAGTTATTTGCAGTTTTACATCTCTTGTTGTCACAAACATACAATGAGGGTTTCAACACGCCATTATGTCATGTTATGTTAAAACAGATTACAGATGAATGCAGATATGGGAATTTAGCTGTCTTTTCTTAGGCCAACATTAAGGAAATTTGCAAAATATAAAATAATGACAGTTTAAACCATTTCTGCTACATATAGTAATTTCTCATTATATGATATTTGTGTGTTGTCATATATTGAATTTTGCTATAGTCTGAATGTTTGTGTTCCTCCAAAATTTATATGTTGAAATCCTAATTCTAAAACTGATGGTATTAGGAGTTGGGGCCCTTTGGGGGTGATAGGTCATGAGAGCAGAGCCCTCATGAATAGGCTTAGTGCCCTTTTAAAAGAGTCCCAAAGGAAACCCCTCAGCCTTTCTGCCTTCTAAGGACACAGCTAGAAGGCGCTGTCTATGAACAAGAAAGCAGTTCATCATCAGACACTGAATCTACCAATGCCTTGGTTTTAGACTTCCCAGCTTCCAGAGCTGTGAAAAATAAATTTATATTGCTTATAAGCTACTCAGTTTACAGTATTTTGTTATGGTATCCCAAACAAACTAAGAATATATTAACACTTAAAAACTTATTTAAAAATTAGTTTATAATATGATAAATACTAACAGATAGAACCCATGTAAACAAGCTCTTTAGAATCCTCAATTTTAGACTAAAGGCTTTCTACTGGAATACCACTGCTGTTAAGTTTTATCATGGGCACCTTTAGGATTACCACTTAGTCTACCTGCAAATAACATTATTCCTCATTGCGTATAGTATAAGAGCCTTGAAACAGTACACTTTCATTTTTTCCCTCCATTTTTTGTGCCATTATTATTATTATACATTTTATTTCTATATATGTAGAATGTTTTATCTTTAAATATTATTTTACAGTATCCTACACATTTACCATTTTGAGTAATCTTTGTTTCTCTGGGAAGATACAAAAATTTCCTTCAGGTGTCATTTTTTTCTTTTCTGCCCAAAGAATTTCCTTTAACATTTCCTGGAGTGTGGCCTGCCGTCAATGAATTCTCCCCAGACAGGGAAATCTTTATGAATCATAAAGATCAGTTAGTTTTGATGAGTGACAGAATTAGAGCAGACATACAAAATAGGAGAGAGATATTGTAGAGCCACAGTTGGCAAGATTTAGCAACTCATTGAATGGATGGGGAATTGAGTGTAACATGCTAACATGCCTCTTAAACATCACAGCCAATGAAATAAGAATAAAAGAGTGAATACTGAGAAAGTATATTCAAAAGCATTATTATAATTTGCAGATTGTAAGATTGTCCATTTGGAAAACCTAGCCCAGAATCCACCAAAAAAATCACAAAACTTATTAAGTGAGTTAATGTAAGTGTGTAAATATAATAGCTTTCCTATATACAAGAAATAACCTGTTAGAATATACAATGGTAAACAACATCAGAAGCAAGAAATAACCTGTTAGAATATTTAATAGTAAACATCAGCAGCAGCAACAAAGACAATTACAAAAATGCTTGATCAAAATACAACAAACACCTAAAACACCTAGGGTAAGAAGCAAGCTAATAAGGAATGTAAAGAGTCAATGAGAGGACAACTATAAAGGACTTGAAGGAAAAATTAATAATTAGATATACTTTGAAATATGAGGTTTAATATTTTAAATTTGTCCATGATCAGCAAATCTACACTGAATTAATTCATAATAAAAAATCAAGTAGATCAATTTGGTGACTAGATAAAATGATCCTAAAGCTTATTTTGAATGAATGAGAGCACAGTATGAACAATACATTTTTTTAAATGCTAAGGATACTTGTTCTATCAAATATTGATAAGTATTATAAAGTCATAATAATACCAGCACCAGAAGGAATAGATATATTAGTGAAATAAAGTAAAAATCATGGCCATATTTAAGTGTATATTGGGATTTATTTTATGATGAATATGGACCAAATTGGTGGGAAAATAACAGATGATAGTATTGAATAAAAAAGTTGCAATTTTTAAAAAATAAAATTAGATCTCTACTTCATAACATATGTTAAAATAAATTTCAGCTCTTGAATCATTTTTACTAAATTTCTTGGCATCTTTGGATACAGATTCAATGCTATTCTTATCAAGTCACCAACATCATTCTTCACGGAATTAGAAAAAACTATTTTAAAATTTATATGGAACCAAAAAAGAGCCTGAATAGCCAAAGCAATCCTAAGCAAAAAGAACAAAGCTGAAGGAATCACACTACCCAATTTCAAACCATGCTATAAAACCACAGTACCCAAACAGCTTGATACGGGTACAAAAACAGACACATGGACCAATGGAATAAAATAGAAAACTGAGAAACAAAGCCACACACCTACAACCATCTGATCTTCGACAAAGACGATAAAAACAAGTAATGGGGAAAGGATTCTCTATTCAGTGAGTGGTGCTGGGATAACTGCCTAGCCATATGCAGAATATTGAAGCTAGACTCCTATGTTTCACCATATACAAAAATTAACCAAAATGAATTAAAGATTTAAAATAAGACCTATAAAAGTCTATAAAAGTCATGGAAGGCAACCCAGGAAATACACTTCTTGACACAGGCCATGGCAAATAACTTTTTGGCTAAGTCTCCAAAAACAATTGCAACAAAAACAAAAATAAACGAGTGGGATCTAATTAAACTAAAGAGCTTCTGTACAGCAAAATAAACTATCAACAGAGCGAACAGACAACCTACAGACTGGGAGAATATATTTGTAAACTATGCATCTGACAAAGGCCTAATATCCAGAACCTATAGGGAACTTAAAGAAATTGACTAGCAAAAAAAATCCAAATAACCCCATTAAAAACATGGGTGAAGGATGTGAACAGACAGTTCTCAAAAGAAGACATACAAGTGGCCAGCAAACACATAAAAAAAGTTGATTATCACTAATTATCAAGGAAATGCAAATCAAAACCACAATGAGATACCATCTCACACCAGTCAAAATGGCTACTGAAAAGTAAAAAACCAGCAGATGCTGGTGAGGTTGTGGAGAAAAAGCAATACTTTTATACTCTTGATGGGAATGTAAATTAGTCCAGCCACTGTGGAAAGCAGTCTGGAGATTTCTCAAAGACCTTAAAACAGAGCTACTATTTGACCCAGCAATCCCTTTACCCAAATGAAAATAAATCATTCTGCCAAAAAGACACGTGCACTTGTATGTTTATTGCTGTGCTATTCAAATAGCAAAGACGTAGAATCAACTCAGGTGCCCACCAATGATAGACTGGATAAAGAAAATGTGGTACATGTATACCGCGGAACACTATGCAGCCATAAAAAAGAGTGAAATCACGTCCTTTGCAGCACCATGGATGGAGCTGAAAGCCATAATCTTAAGCAAATTAATACAGGAACAGAAAACCAAATACTGCATGTTATCAGTTAAAAGTGGGAGCTAAGCATTGAGCACGCATTGACATAAATATGGAAACAGTAGACACTGTGGACTACAAGAGGGTGGAAGGGGGTGAGGCTGGGTTAAAAAAGACACCTATCAGATACTATGTTTACTATTTGGGTAATGGGATCTATACCCCAAATCTCAGCATCCTGCAATATTCCCATGTAACAGATCTGCACATGTACCCCATTATCTAAAATAAAATTTGAAAAGAAAAAATTCTAAACAGATGAGAGATTTGAATGTAAAAATAAAACCAACACATTACTAGAAAAAAATATAAGTAGATACCTCTATCATCTTGAGTTTGAGTATTTTCTAATATAATAACAAAGAGAAGCATCAAGAAAATGACTTATTTGGGCTCTTTTAAATTGTGTGAATCTAAAACCAAATACCATAAAATTGTATTTATGAATTTAAAATGAAATCGACAACTCATAAAAGCTTATAATAGACAAGGTGTAAATATAATTAATATATGAACCCAGTATAAAAATATGGGAAAATGTGTATATGCTAATTTTAAAATGGACAAAGCATGTATCCTGGTAATTTGTGAAATAACAAATATGATGCACAAAGAGGCAGATGGCAAGATTTTTAACCTCAGAAGTCATGGAAGAAGATGTTAGAGGTAAAGATTAGGCCACTTGAAAGAGCACTCAGGATAGGTCAGACAAGGGAAGATAAAAACAGAAAAGAACAAGGAAAATGTCAAAGATAAGATGTGTGATAAGTTGTATTTCTTTTTATTATAAACACTTCATCCTCCTGGGTAAAATATATTAATACTTTCCTCCGCAATGGAATCAGTTTGGCCATGTGATTTTCTTTGGCCAAAGAAGTTTTACAAACTACTTTATTCTTTGTCAGATGTTTTTTTTTCTTTTGGCTACCATGATGGAGACTATAGCAAATGGAGACTGTTTAGTTCATGTGGATCCAGAGTGAAACCTTCATGCAGCAGACCCACAGTCAAACTGTGTTGGAAAGGTAACCTGGATGAGAAAAATACCTTTGTTTTTATAAGTCACTGAAACAATGGTACGATTTGTTACTTTGTTATACCCTAGTGTGTCCTGACTGATACATCTGGCCTACTTTACGTTTCTGACTTCTTGTTGGCAAATTGATCAACCAGGTAGAGCAAAGATTGTAAACAGAAAATATAACCTGTCAAAGAATGTGTACAAGAAAGAGAAGGTTTAGTAGGAGAGAAATGTTAACGGATTAGCTGGTTGTGAGTGGGAAGATTTAGGCAGTAAGGGATGAGAAATAAATGCAGTGAAGAGGAAAAAGGTAATAGAGAGTTGTCAAATGCCTCAATTACAAGTTTGTATTGGGTTGAGGACTTGACTTGAATGACAGTATTTCAGCTTGGAAACTACTGCTTTCTGGTTTTATGTTAGTTATATAATTTTTAAGTGTCATAAACTCTCTTGGTTTCTCCACCCTTCTTCCCCTTTTATTCTCAAGATTTATATTGATTCCAAGTCAATAACAACAAGAAAAACAAACATTTTGGAGTTCCTTCAGTTTGGAGTTCTTAACTGGTTTATTTTAATTCACTATTTCTCATCTGATGTATTGGTCTTTCCACTTATTTATTTTTTCATCCATTCATTCACATCATGGTATACATAAAGATAATACTTATACAGCAGTTACGGGTAAATAGAGGAGGCTGTTCATACTGAGACATTACCTAACTGGGCCGGCCAGACTGTTCCTGAGCAGAGAGGATCCATGCCTTGGCATACCTGTAACTCACTGAAGGGACCTGTGTTGGAAAGCTCTGTGATAAGTAATTGTGAGCCTGCAATAAGCAATTGTACAAATGATTTAGCAGAAAGCTTATTCTGGCTAAATTATGCTCCCTCTAGCTTATTTATTTAATTCTTATCAAGAAGAAGTGCAATGAGATGGATGTTGTTCATATCATCTACTTTTCTTTTTTTTTTTTTCTGACAGGGTCCCACTCTGTAGCCCAGGCTGGAATGTGGTAGCAGGATCTTGGCTTACTGAAACCTCCACTTTCTGGGTTCAAGTGATTCTCCCACAGTCTACCAAGTAGCTGGAACTGTAGGCATATGCCACCACACCTGGCCAATGTTTGTATTTTTAGTACAGACAGGGTTTTTCCATGTTGGCCAGGCTGGTCTCGAACCCCTGAGCTCAAGTAATCCACCTGCCTCAGCTCCTAAAGTGCTGGGATTACAGGCATGAGCCCCCGTGCCTGGCCATATTCATCTATTTCTTAAATGTAATCCATTAAAAGTGATGGTAATAAAGTTGTTAAGATATGTCTTCTATTTCAGGAATGGACCTGAACTGGCCTCCCATCTCAGGATATTAACTTGGATTTACACAGTACACTTGCTCAAACATTCCATAGTTACTGCTAGAGGCTTGCTTTATCCTATCATGTTCTAATTATCACATTTCCATAATCTAAATATTCCTGGACTCAAGTATAATTTCTCTTTCCTGAGATAAACTCACTTTCTACTCCCGGTCATATCTATTTCTCCAGTTCTCTCAGTCACATTAGTATGTGTCATTTTGCTCAATTGTATTCTGGTTTTTCCTTTAAAATATACTTGTCAAGTATGCTATAAAAATAATTCACGGTAAATTGATATTTTATGTGCCCCTCTCTTAAACATTAAGAGATTATTTCTGTACTTTCCTAATACAAATTTATTATGTTTACTAATTATCATTATCTAAATTATTTAAATAAATATAAATTATTTAATAAAATAGAAATTATTTACATGGGAAAAGAAATGGGATGGAGCAGAGCATGCTAAATTATCAGTGGTCCCATTCTATTTCTGTTCCAATTATATCAATCATAAAACTTGTAAGACCCCTAAACTAGAGTTTTACCGGTAGAATCCTAATAACTTTTTTTTGACATACGAGCTGTACATTTTCCAGGGGCGTCTATAGAATGGAATGATGGCCACAGAGAATGCAGGTGACAGAGAAGCTATGTGTTGGTATAAAGCGTTTTGTATCATAAATAGGACTAGAATGCAGGTGCCCACAGTAATATCCTGCTGCTGGACCTAATAAAGTGCCCTGGCTCAGCAGTTGTAAAGCTCAGAGTTGCTATTTTTGTTGAAAGATTTCAGATCCACGGTGTGAAACTGAGACACAAACTTGTTTGCCTCTTAGGATGGCAAATACATATACTTCTTTGGATTGCATTAAGTGTGGTAACACAGGATATGTGCGCATCACAATTAATGACAGTGGCATAGCAGGTTTGAGATATCCTGAATGTGAGTACTAACTGCTTTTCTTTCTCACTATTTAATCTTATTTTTTTCTCTTAACTGCCTTGTGTAACCTTTGCTGCATCTTCTCTCTCTTTTGACTTCCTTAATAACAGTGAACCTAATATTGCAGACTTTAGTCCTTATTTTTTCCTTCTCTTCATTTTGAAGTTCAGTATCAGTTACATTTGATAACACCTACATCTGTGTCCCTAGATCAAAGTTTTCTACTGAGATCCAGTATGTTATCTTTAATCCTCGACATCTCGAAGTTCAACTTGTGCTAGATGAGTCATAATTGCACCTTTAATGTACAACCAATTGTACCATCATTCACAGGAACACTGAAACTCAACAGCCAAGGTGTCATCATTGCTTCCTTTTCCTTTGCTCCCTCTAGCTTATTTATTTAATTCTTATTAGTTGTATTTCTTGAATATTTCTTGCATGTGTCACCTCCTCTTCATCCCCATCTGAACTGGCCCCTATCACCTCTCACATGGACTATTATAATAACTCCTTGGCTCGCGACTTCCCCCACTCCAGTGTATCCTTATAATGTCTTACCCTCTACACAAAGGATCGTGATTCTAAAACACAAATCAGATCCCATCACTTCCCAAGTTTCTCCACTGTCTGGTCCTCAGCACTTGTATTTGTGTGCACACAGGACCTCTGTGACCTGGCATCTCTACTTATCCTGCTGAATCTTCACTTGTATCACTCAGTGCCCCTGGAAGTGAGTACACTCTACTGCTTCACACCTCTTGGCCGTGCATATGCTTCTCATCTGAAGTAGCCCTTCACTCCTTTTCCACTGGCCAAACCCCAATTTTCTATTCAGAAATCAGCCCAAACACCCATTGTGCAAATTCCTGGTTTTTCTTGTGGTTGTATGTTTGGGCTATCACAGTATTTTTCTTCCTCAAGCCTCATTTTAGCTATTATCATGGGCAGTTTTAAGTTTGCTTACTGGTCAAATTTTAGAATAGACTGTATGCCTCTTTCGATAAAGAACCATGCCCCAGACTCAGTTCAGTGCCTGGCACATAGTAGATAATCTACAAGCAATTGTTAAGTATATGAATGAGTAAAGAGATGCATAAATTTTTGGTTTTAAAATAATTCAGTACCTCTCCTCTTTCTGCTGTACTAGGAGCAATAGTTTGGAGGTATCTTGGTGGTGTATTTATTTTATTTGCCTACGGGATTAACAAAGTTATGGCACTTCATAGCTGGTGTGGTGGCACAGGTACTGGTGAGGGCCAAGAACTGGCTATACTAGATTTATTTCACTTATTTGTACTTTCATGGAATTGAAACGTATTTTTCTATTCTGGTTAGTGCCTTGCATGTCCAGATAGAGACAAAAGGGATTGGTATTAAAAAGTATTGTTTGATGAGATTTTAAAAGAATCTTTGCGTCATGGTTGTGGTTTTTAAATATAAATGGAAATGCAAAATCTGTACTTTCTGAGTATCTGTACAAAGTTTGTATGGTAACCTATGTCTAAGATGGCCTGAAAAATGTAGCTGATTTTAAGCAATTCAGACTTTACAGGTCATACAATGATGTATTTTCTCAGTCTCTGGGAGGCAGAACTATAATAGACTCTTGGGGACAAAAAGGGGCTTGTTTTTTTAAACAAAACATGATGTTATACTAAGAGCAAAACTATTGTTTTTGACAAGGCATGTAAGAATTCAGTTAGATCTGACTCAAATGAAAATGGAATAAGCTAGTTTTGATTCAAAAGCTGTGGACGTTGCCTAGTTGTGAAATGAAGGGTCCATGAGGTTGTAGTCATGGCAACCAGTGTGGAGGGAGCTGAGCTTTGAGTGCCCTTGTCCTCCATCACTGTCAAGTTATAGATTCCGTATTTGGAGGGATGGTGTCGGCAACTTAGTAACAGGAAAGCACCAACTGAACCATTTCCCACCAACAAACCTGTATTTTGTGTAATGAACTAATGGTTATGACTGTTAAGGTAGTCTCCTACAAGGTTACAAATTGTAACTATTTCCGATAAAAAACCTGAAGCTTGCTGGGTGCGGTGGCTCACGTTTGTAATCCCAGCACTTTGGGAGGCCGAGGCGGGCAGATCATGAGGTCAGGAGTTCGAGACCAGCTTGGCCAACACAGTGAAACCGTGTCTCTACTAAAAATACAAAAATTAGCTGGGCTTGGTGGTGGACACCTGTAATCCCAGATACTCGGGAGGCTGAGCCAGGAGAATTGCTTGAACCTGGTAGGCAGAGGTTGCAGTGAGCCAAGATTGCACCACTGCACTCCAGCCTGGGTGACAGAGCTAGACTCCATCTCAAAAAGGCCAGGGGCGGTGGCTCACACCTGTAATCCCAGCACTTTGGGAGGCCGAGGCGGGCAGATCACGATGTTGGGAGATCGAGACCATACTGGCTAACAGGGTGAAACCCTGTCTCTACTAAAAATACAAAAAATTAGCCAGGTGTGGTGGTGGGGGCCTGTGGTCCCAGATACTCGGGAGCCTGAGGCAGGAGAATGGCGTGAACCCGGGAGGCAGAGCTTGCAGTGAGCCGAGATTGCACCACCACTGCACTGCAGCCTGGGTGACAGAGTGAGACTCCATCTCAAGAAAAAACAGAACAAAACAAAAAAAACCCCTGAAGCTTTTGGTTTTAGTTTTCCTGCTCTTTAAAAATAGATCTTGCAAAGGTTATTCTTAATTCATTGCCTTTCCACATGGGCCTCTGTGTTGGGAAGCAGTTAGTTCTGGTTGTATCATAAAGAGCGTCCTGTCATTTTCCTGTCTGTCTCTGCCTTGGTTACTCTCTTAATAGCCCCATACAATAAGCTGTCAGCATCTGAGAAAGAACCGATGGCACAATTTTCTCAATGTAGGGATGAGACTGAGGGGACACACAGTCGCTTTCAGGAGGTTTGCCTGAAGTTCTTTTCAATAAAGATTAGATCCACTGCCCTTGACAGGCTCCACAGAGCTGGCAGTGGTTTCTGAAGCAGAATCTTGGTTCCAGCTTTTCTAAAAGCTTCCTTTTACTTTTCTTCTCTTCATTCCATCTTCACCATCATCACAACAATGTGTACACAGGAAACTCTTGTGGATTAGTTAACATCACTTAATGATGGTTAGGGTAGAAAAGAATGTTGGAAACATTAGAAAAATGGAATAATAGTCACATAATAATAATTTCAGAGCTCTTAATGTAAAACTTTGTGCTATACACTTTATATACTATCAGTTCTTTCAATTATCAGTAATCCAATGAAGCAGATACTATCATCTCTATATTGCAAATGAGAAAATTGAGTCTCTGGAAAGTTTCACAACTTGTCCCAAGGGCAGCGATTAGCATGTGTCAGAACTAGGACTTCAGCTTTTCTGGATCCAAAGCCTGGAGGAGTTGATTTTTCTTTTGAGCAAAATAAATTTATTTCGTGGCAGCTCTACCCTTCTGGAGGCTGGAAGTCCAAGATCAGAGTGCCAGCATAATCGGGCTCTGGTGAGGGCCCTCAGCTCGCAGATGGCACATTCTTACTGTGTCCTTACACAGTAGAGAGAGTGATCTCACTCTTCCTCTTTTTATAAAGGCATTAATCCCCTCATGGGGGCTCCACCAAAGGCCCCATATCCAAATACCATCACATCAGGGTTTAGGTCCTCAACATATTAATTTCATAACACGAAGCTGGTGACTAGCCCAAGGCAAGAACTTTTGTAGTACCAGTGCAGTTCCTCTATAGAGTCCCGTATGCCAGGCTTGCTGAGGGTGGGCTTCCAAAGATGCACAAAAGAATATTCCATATGGTTATAGGGAGTGGTCTCAAAAGAGTCAGGCAGTTTTAAAAGTTTTAAAAAATATGTAATATATTGGGTTTGAATATGAAATAATAGGAAAACATACAGTGAAAGAATCAACATCTTTCCCCTACCAGATCCCTAGTTTGACAGCTCACAGACTAGTAATCTTAGTACATTTTGTGTATCCATCCAGAAATAGTCCATACATTTGTGAGAACGCCTTTTCTTTTGAGGACAATTTGATCATATCTGTGACAAATTTACTATTCAAGTGCATTTTGACCCAGTAATTGTATGTATAGATACATTAGCACAAGGGACTAAAGAGCTATATAGAGGGACATTTAATACATGATGCATGCCATTTATCCTATTTATTTGTCCCGTTTTCACTGAAATGAAAACAAACAAGCCTGGGTTTCTTAACCTCTGTATTGCCTCTCAACACCAGGTATGTAGGGAGTTAGGCTGTCAGATTGACCTTAACGTGATGCTTGCCTTCTGAATAATTCTTTTAGGCTTTCTATTTATTATAGGCCAACTTCATTAATTGAGTCAGTAAAATTTATTGAAGACTTCATATGTGCCATGCAGCATTTGAGGCACTTGAAATATCTGTGAATTAAACAGATTAGAACTCGGCTCCTAAAATTTAGTGAAAGACAAAAGTCTTTCACTAAAAAAGACAAAAAAGCAAACAAGTAAATAACCTTATTATAGGTAGTTATTCATGTTCTGAAGGGAAAAAACCCAGTGATTGAAGGTGTCTTTAAGTATATATTTAAGAAGATAAGGTGATTAGGGAATAACTACCTATGAGGGAAACATTTGCTCTACGACTTGAATGATGGGAAAGGGGCACCCCATCATGAATTAGGCTAGGACATTATCTAGCAAAAGTTCTGAGAGAGGAACTTACTTAATGTGTTTTAGGAATTGAAAGGTCAGCATGAATGAGGCAAAGGAGAAATGAGAAAACGGCACAAGATAAAATTGAAGAAGTGAGCAAGGGTCAGATCATGTGGGGTAATGCAGACCTGATACAAAGATTAGATTTTATCCTAAAGGCAAAAAGGAAATTTTAGAAGGTATTAAGCAGAGTAGTGGCATGATCTGATTTATGACATTAAAACAATTCCACTGACTGTAGAGAATGGATTATAAAGAAAGAACAAGAATGGGAACAGGGAGATCTGTAAGCAAATTATTAGTGTAGCCTGGATTAGAAATACTAGTAGCTTGGATTGGGCTGGTGGCAGTGGCACTAGGGAGAACTGCACAGATTCAGGTTACATTTTGAGGGCACTGTCAATAGGGCTCGCTGATATACTGGATATGCAAGTGTGAAGGGAGGGAGGATTAAGGACAACTATGGTTAAGGGCAACTCTGCAGGTCATTATGCTAAGTGAAATAACCAGGTACAGAACAACAAACATCATACATTCGACTTCTCTGTGGCAACTAAAAATTAAAACATTTGAACTCATGGAGACAGAGAGTAGAAGGGTGGTTATGGAAAGGCTGGGAAGGGTAGTGGGGTGTGGTGGGGGCGGTTGGGAGGTAAGCGGAGATGGTTAATAGGTACAAAAAATTAATTAGAATGGATAAGAACTGGTATTCACTAGCATAACAGGTGACTCTAGTAAAAAATAATTTAGTACATTTAAAAATAACTAAAAGAGTATAATTAATTGTTGGAAACACAAAAGATAAATGCTTGAGGAGACGGATATTCCATTTTTACCCCAACGTGATAATTACACATGGCATGACTGTATCAAAATATCTCATATAGCCCATATAAATGTATACACCTACTATGCACCCACACGTATTTTTTACAAATTTAAAAAAGAAAAACACAGGACAATTTTGAAGCTTCGGCTTGAGTGGCCAGGTGAATGAATGTGATATTTACTGAGACACAGGTGAACGAGAGAAGCAAATTGTGTACCAGTGACTAATTGGGTGCTGTTTACACAGTAACATTTAACAAATATTTATCATATTGACATGTAGAAAAGTCACTGTACTTAGCTAGTTTCTCTAAAACTCCAGGTGAAAGCGTCCACTGAGCAAAGCTTACTGACTAGAATCCTATTGCCCTGTCTTTTGAGAATGTCAATTCTGCCCCATTCATCACTAAATAGACATAATCACTTGTTCTCTAAATTGTAAAATTGCCTCCAGATAATTCACCAGCCTTCTGTAAAACCCTTATTAACCCGCTTCAAGAAATACTCAGTTCCTAAGTGAAAACAATATTTGTGTATCAGCCAGAGCTGGAGAGGCCCATTGTCACTTTATGAAAATTAGCTTTCAGGCCGGGTGTTGTGGGTCACGCCTGTAATCCCAGCACTTTGGGAGGCCCAGGCGGGTGCATCACGAGGTCAGGAGATTGAGACCATGCTGGCTAACACAGTGAAAACCCATCTCTACTAAAAATACAAAAAATTAGCTGCGCATGGTGGTGGGTGCCTGTAGTCCCAGCTACTCGGGAGGCTGAGGCAGGAGAATGGCATGAACCCGGGAGGTGAAGCTCGCAGTGAGCCGAGATCACGCCACTGCACTCCATCCTGGGTGACAGAGCTAGACTCCGTCTCAAAAAAAAAGAGAAAATTAGCTTTGTTTTTCCCTGTGGTAAATTGCAGATTCTTGCAAACAATGTAAAATGTGACTTATGTTCCATGTGATAAGGAAGATAGCTCTGATCATCCAGATTTTCCAACAAGACAGACTTATTTTTTCACTCATATTTTAATTGCTGTAATGTCAGCCTCAGAGTTCATTAAGGTTTTTAAGGTACCATATCCTGGGTATAAAATATTTTTATTGGGAAAATGAATTTTCTCTTGCCTTGAGACTAGCTCTCTAATTAAAAGCACATACCATTAGTGCAAGTATATCACATTAAACATACACCCTGATGAATTGATAATTCATCTCAATCTCAAATCATAATCATTTTATTACTTTTCTGCAAGAAAGAAACCTCCAGTAAAAGGAGAAGAAGCACAAAGACATTTCTAGAAATTGGACTTTTCTCAGCTGACTGAGGTTGTCTTTGACAGTCGTGGTTTCCTAGTGGTTTATAATAATTTGTTTTTTGTTTTTTGTTTTTTGTTCCTTTTGCAGCTAGCCAGCTGGCATTTGAACCTGCTGCCTTCAACCTGCCATTCTACCAAGACTGTTATATAACTGTTCATATTATATATAAAAAAATAATATTGTTTAAATATTATTTTGTAATAATCCAAAACCTTTTTATCTTCTTTGAAGGAGCTGCAAGAAAAGTTACATCTGTCATCAGTAAAATATCCTCCATTTATTCTAGACATTATGGTGATTATATGAAGAGTGTGGTCTATATCTTACTGCAGACACTGAATAGCACCAGCAGAGAATGATCATCTGCTGTTGTCACAGAATCAGCAGTTTTAGGCAGCATGTAGTACATTAGCTTTCAAATTTTCTTCATTAGAAACTCTCCAAGTTTAATTTACTCAACTGTATGGAGGTTAAAGATCTGCTGGTAAAGCACTCATCATTAACAGCGATTATTCATTGTCACTCTTGAGTAGGCAAATTCCACTTTTGGAGATTTTCTCTGCTAAGAAGAATTAATGGAAGCTGAGGAAGCAGGGTAGGAAGCTCCGGGCCACTACTCTAAGGCTTCTTAAAAATGGAGAAAGATTACACACTGCATTGTTATTGGCTGTAGTCACCCTACTGCACAATGGAATACCAAAACTTATTCTTCCTTTCTCGTGGTAACTTTGTACCCATTGACTAACCTCTCCCAGTACCCCCTTTCCTGTTGCCCTCTTTATCCTCTGGTAATCATTATTCTACTCTCACGTTCTACCATCTGACATTATAATATATATATACATGTCTTGAAACATTAGATTGCATCCCATAAATATGTACAATTATTGTGCATCAATAAATTTTAAAAATTAAATTTTTAGAAATGGAGAGGAACCTAAGCACCACAGTCATGTAGGCAGAGTTGGTTTCTTGTCAGAGTAGGGAGGCAAAGGGCACAGGCCATAAGGAAGGCAGAGGTGACAAAGGCAGTCTTACGGCCTCTCAGCTTGACTAAACTCTAGACAGGGTTCTTCCTCACTTTAAATACCTGATCTCCATTTTCTTAGAACATTTACCTGAGAAAATTTACAACTGTAAATTCTACCCTTTTGTACATTTTCTACAACTCAGGAATGTCTTTCTCGAAAGCCTCGAGCCAGCCGGGCATGGTGGCTCACGCCTGTAATCCCAGCATTTTCATAGACTGAGGCAGGCAGATAACTTGAGGTTAGGAGTTTGAGACCAGCCTGGCCAACATGATGAAACCCCGTCTCTACTAAAAATACAAAAAATTAGCCAGGCGTGGTGGATCCCAGCTACTCGGGAGGCTGAGATGAGAGAATCACTCGAACCCCAGAGGCAGAGGTCCCATGAGCCAAGATTATGCCACTGCACTCCAGCCTGGGTTACAGAGCGAGACTCCATCTCAAAAAAAAAAAAAAAAAAAAAAAGAAAAGAAAAAGAAAAAAGTCTGGGAGCCATCCCCTTAACAGGCCATCATCAAGACAGACAGAGCCCCTCTTTCCCAGTCTGTGTGAGGACAGGGGCCTAACTTTGGTAATTATCGATCAGTAAATACAGATAGCCAAGTCACATTGACCTGTATCCTCTACCTTTTGGAAATTGTTATTTGGAAAATCGGGCAAGTGGGTCTTGAGGATTTGCCTTCTTAAAAGTTTTAGTCTTAAGTAGGTTATGACTCTAAGATATTCCTCTCCATTCTTTTAAGGAGTTCAGAGGAATCAGTTATGCTTTCAAAGTGGACCTTTCAAAGTAGATCTTACTGCTTCCTTCAGAATCACTTGGATAACTAATAAAATATAGATTTCTGGACCATTCCAGAAAGTTTAAAATTAAACTCTCTAGGCATCAGGCCTCCGAATGTCTCTCTTAAATAAGCCCCTCACTTCTTTCTTTTACACACTAAAATCTGAGTACTACTGCTCTATAGTAAGCAATTAAATCTTTATAAAAAGAATAGAATAAGAATAAACTTATGAAAAAGATACATTTTGAAAAATAGAAGAATTTTAATTTTTAAAATGATAAAAGCATAGAGGTGGAGATTTTCAAAATGTGTTGAGATAGAAATCTTAAATCATTGGATTTATGTTGCTGCCTGTATTCAGTTTTCCCCAAAAAGAACCTTACCAATTGACAATATATTGTCCTCTTAACATTTTCTATTGAAGAAAATTCCAGAACTTTTTTCACTTATCCGTCAGAATGTACAGTGATTATGTTTTGCAATCTTTCTTTGTAAATCGTTTTGGCGTGCTTACCACAACTGAAAATTATTTTTTCTTGCTCTACCCACTGGCGTTGTGGTAAAGTAGTTGCAGTCATAGGAAAAAGAGAAAAACTCTTCTTTTTTACATTTAGTTTTTCAAGGGAAAAATTATATTTTAAAAAGTCAGCTTTTCTTTTCTTTTTTTTTTTTTTTTTTAGATCCTGTGATTTGTGGCACAGGAAAAATGGTGTCCTAAATCAGGCTCTTGGTGGCCCACTGACTCAGCAAAGTGGTTTGGTTTACTTTTGGAGGGCCCTCAGTCAGAGAAATGTATTCTTTTCCTTGATCCTCTTATCCCTGTGACTAATAACTTCTATTCTCTTTAACATCTATGCTGAAGGATGGCTCTGTCAGGAACTATTTACATTTGAGAGTGTAAATTTATAACATCGCTTTGTTTCTTTCAGAAATCTTCAGGTTGGAAAATTTTCCATTGTGGAATATAACATTTTCCGCAATGAAACATTAAATGAAGAAGATAAAGTCATTCTAGTAGCTAGAAGGCTTTTCTAGTGCTCCTAAAATTTACCCTTCTCTTCCTTTCATGCCACTTTCTTTAAAACAAACCCCTCCCTAAGAAAAACTATACATCCCAGGTCTTTTTCCCTGGAGAAAAGAAAGTGGCTTCTCTTAATAATCAATATGGAAAATCATGAATCGAAAGAAAAAACCAAGTAAGGTACGTGTAAACAAACAGCCTTCCAGCTTGAAACCATTTTCAGTCTTAGTTTCCACAATTTGTTGTCCTTTTCCTATCCATTATGCAGCAACAGCATTGGATTTGAACGTGAATTTTCCCTGCCACAGCTTCCTGCTTTCGTGGGCAAGAGAAACCTGGCATGGAACTTGAATCCTTGAATTTGCTCTGACCTGAACTTGTGCCACAGTTGAAATGTGCTGTGCATTGACTTCAGGATGGAGAAACAGGAGAAAGTGAGGCTGCTAGAGACGGTTTGTCCACACACACACACACACACATACACACACACACACACACACACACACACACACACACGAATTCTGATGATTAGCAATCACTGGAGGAATACAGTAAATTATAAGCAGGCTAAATTACTTTTTTGTTTTTATGTTCTTCTTGTCCCAATGTGGAAAGCCCCACTGTGTGAGAAGCTATACTGCAGCCCTTGGTACAAGTAAATGCTCAGCCTGGGACAAAAGCTTAAAGAGCTCTTCTCTCACAGAGCCTTTTGTTTTTTAGACGTGGATAAGCAGGAGCTTGGAAAGACACTTAGTTTTTAAGAAACACTGTGCCCTAAGACACTTAGCATGTAAGGCTTCTAGCACCCAGAAAATTATCTTGTACATACTCAGAGTAATGAACTTTGGAGGTTTTATCTGCTCTGATTACAAATTGCTTTTCTTCCTCTCTTCCTTCTCCTCCCTTCCTTCTCTTCCTTCTACTACTTCTTCTTCCATAAGGCTAAAGATCATGAAGTTTTGCTGCACAACAAAGTAAAATGGCATACCTGAATGTGTGATGGAACTCTAGGTGGCTAGGGACAATCCTATCCTAAAGTATAGAATACAGGGATAGGGATAGGGTAGACAAATACTGATGAAGTGCAGAACAGGAGCTGCGGGGAGATGATTAGAGTAAAAGAGGAGACATTGGCTCTGCACACATATAGAAACAAAGTGGAATAAGAATTTTGCATCTGGGAAGGCCTTGAGCTGTGCAGATGCAAAGGTCCTTCAGTGGCGGCCTTCATACCTGGCAGAGCTATTATTATTTTTTCCATGTTGGTTGAACAGGTGCTGTGTGTCAAGTGTTGTGTTAGATCTAGAGGCTGCTGAGAAGAATAGATCATGGCATTATCTGCAAGGTTATGAAGTTATACATGTAGAAACTGAAAATTACATTCAAATAGGATCCTAACCAATGAGGAAGTATAGAGTACTATGGGGCACAGTGGGAAATGTGAGAAATTTAAGAAGAATCAGAAAGTGCTCCATGGAAAAGGGAACATTTTAGCTGGGGCTTTAAGAGGGCGGTAGATTATCCAGGCCCCAAAAGGATAATAGTAAAAAAGTGGAGAAATGGCTTTCCTGCTTGAGGAAACAGCATGCCCAAAAGCAAGTCATGGAAGAAAATATTTTGTTTAAATAATATTGAAAACTTCCTTTATGAGAAGAAAATAAAGTAGAGACGAGTAGAGGGAAGGGTGGAGAAGAAGATGAGGCTAACCAGTAGTTATCCAGGAAGGCAAGAGAAGTTTGAAGTTTTGCACTACGTGAGTATATGTAGAACTCATGGATTGGGATCTGGATGTATGGCCAGAAGGCCAAGAATCAACACCAGTTGTGTGGAAGCTGTGAGGTGAACTTAATTCTGAAGCACAGCTCTGAACCAGCAAGTGCTTCTTAGACGTTGTGTTAGTTAGAAACCAACTCCAAGTTGTCAAAAAGCAGCTTCCTAGACATGCCTTCTTAGAAAAGAAGCTGTAAATATGGGAATTAGCCAAATTCACTGAAATTTATTTAGTCTTTATGTGCAAAGTAGCATACCATGTGAAATTAAAGTGATGAACTGCTTGCCCCAAGAAGCTTTTAGTGTATCAAGGAAGAAAGATATGTACTTCAATTATTGTAGGAGACTGTAGCATGCTGTGCCTCAGCAGGGAAGGAGAATGAGCCAAGTAAGAGGCTATACAAGGCAATGTGCCAAATATTTACATGGAATTCTCCGGCTAAGTAGAGATTTTTGTCCATTTTGGAAATGAAAAACATGCTCAAAAGGCTATGAAACTTTCTCAAGGAAATGCAGTTAACAAGTGTCAGAGCCAAAATCAGCTCAGGTCTACCTGACACTGAAACCTGCCTTCGTATCCAAATGTGGGCTGCTTTAAATCAAGCAGAATATAAACATTTGGCTTCCAAAGAATAATAGAAAGTTCTCAAAGCATCTCGGTCCTCAGCGCTTATGATCACCCCTCACCATATTTCCACTCTTCAGTATTTATCACCACTCCCATCACATCCCTAAAAGCTTCTTTCCCTGCTCAGCCAGGAGTGATGTCTTCCTTTCCTAATGCCTGCAGCAGCTGCCCACATTCTAGGTGTCCAGACTGACCTGTGCTACCTCTAGCGTCTCCTTCCCAAGCACATCTTCCATGAGGCAACAGATATCTCAAGGTCTAGCTTCAATGAGTTTCACAAGTGAAAAAAGTTACTACAAATGAAAATTACATCAATTAATATAGCAATGGGTAAAGATATTAGCATGAAAGCAGCAAACAGTGTCAAACCTGGAGAGGCTTGCAGCTGGGGGTAAGAGATGATGCAGAAGTGACCTGAGTTGATTGCTGGCCAACTCAGTGGTGCCAGGCCCCGTAAGAGCTCCCTTCCTGGGGAAATGGAAGAATTATATAGATCTTGATATTGACATCTGATTCTAGATAAAGTGAATGGGATTTCTCTGAATTTTTTTAACTTTTATTTTAGGTTTGGGGGTACATGTGAAGGGGTAAAGGTGTCATGAGGGTTTGCTGTACATATTATTTCATCAATCAGGTATTAAACCCAGTATCCGATAGTTATCTTTTCTGCTCCTTTCCCTTCTCCTACCCTTCCCCCTCAAGTAGACCCCAGTGTCGTTGTTCTCTTCTTTGTGTTCCTAAGTTCTTATCATTTAGCTCTCACTTATAAGTAAGAACATGTGGTATTTGGTTTTCTTTTCTGTATTAGTTTGCTAAGGATAATAGCCTCCAGTTCCACCCATGTTCCCGCAAAAGATAGGATCTCATTCTTTTTTATGGCTGCATAGTATTCCATGGTGTATATGTACCACGTTTTCTTTATCTAACCCGTCATTGATGGACATTTAGGTTGATTCCATGTCTTTGCTATTGTAAATAGTGCTAAAATGAACATATCAATGCATGTGTCTTTATGGTAGAATGATTTATATTCCTCTGGGTATATACGCAGTAATGAGATTGCTAGATCAAATGGTCTTTCTACCTTTAGCTCTTTGAAGAATCTCCATACTGCTTTTCACAGTGGTTGAACTAATTTACACTCCCATTAGCAGTGTATACATGTTTCCTTTTCTCTGTAACCTCACCAGCACCTGTTATTTTTTGACTTTTTAATAATGGCCATTCTGACGTGAGATAGTATCTGATTGTTATTTGCATTTAGCTAATGATCAGTGATATTGAGCTTTTTTTCATATGCGTATGGACTGCATGTATGTCTTTTGAGAAGTGTTTGTTCATGTCCTTGCTCACTTTTCAAACTATACTACAAGGCTACAGTAACCAAAACAGCATGGTACTGGTACAAAAAGAGGCACATAGACAAATGGAACAGAATAGAGAACCCAGAAATAAGGCTGCACATCTATGATCATCTGATCTTTGACAAAGCTGACAAAAACAACCAATGGGGAAAAGACTCCCTATTCAAAAACTCTTGCTGGATAACTGGCTAGTGATATACAGAAGACTGAAACTGGAGCCCTTCCTTACACCATACACAAAAATCAACTCAAGATGGATTAAAAACTTAAATGTAAAACCCAAAACTATGAAAACCCTGGAAGACAACCTAGGCAGTACCATCCTGGAAAGGGCAAAGATTTCATGACAAAACACCAACAGCAATTGCAACAAAAGCAAAAATTGACAAGTAGGTTCTAATTAAAATAAAGAGCTTCTCAACAGCAAGAGAAACTATAAACTAAACAGCTTCTAAACAGCAAGAGAAACTATCAACAGAGTAAACAGACAACCTACAGAATGGGAGAAAATATTTCCAAACTATGAAACTAACAAAGGTCTAATGTCCAGTATCTACAAGGAACTTAAACAAATTTACAAGAGAAAAACAGCCCAGTTAAAAAGTGAGATTTTCCTGAATTAACTCAGATTTAGTTTCTTTTGCCCTGTAGAACAGAAACTTAAAACAGAAGTAACTTGTTATAAAATAACGAAGTGTTACATTTCTTGCATGTTTGACTTTATAAGTTGAAAGTTGTACCCACTACGTATATCTATATTCTGTCTCTCTATCTAGACTCCAAAGTCTCTGAGTGAAGGGACTACGTTTCATATTCTTTTATATGTCCCAGAGTTCCTGGCAGAGTGCCTTAATTATACCAGCCTCAGTGGACATTCCTTGTGGAATTTTTCTTTCTTTCTTTCTTTCTTTTTTTAATGGAAAGAGATACTTGTTGCAGCTCACAGCCAGTGAAAAATGTAAAGAAAATGGATTGTGACCACAAACCTGAGCAGTTGTTGCAAGAATTAAAACATCTCAACAAAGAGTAGGAAGAGTTTCCATTTTAGCTTTAAAGATGTCCTGAAACATAGGTTCCAATATTGCTGCAAGATATTGCCTCTAACGTTGAGAGGCAAGAGTATCTCTAAATCTCTTAGTATTTCTGCCTAGTTGAGGGTATTTTCCTGGTTGCCGAAACTACAGTCATCTCAAGACTAAGGTATGTCTGAGTATTCAGGGCATGTAGGACCAAAGAGCTTCCTGAGATAGATTCATCCTGGGAGAAGCAATTGGAAAAGTATGTGAAAGAGGTCTAAAGAATCCTTTTATTGATAGGTCACAGGTATTTAATGCATTTCACTCAAACCCCCATTACATATGGATGGTTGGTGATTTCCCATAGTTAGTGTAATATTCTTTTATTCTGTAATGAACATTCATGTGATCCCACAATTAAAAAAATCTGTATGAAGCCCTAAGAAACTGCAATATAATGAAAAATAATATTTCTTATGTTCCCTTTTCTTTAGTTTGAAAAATGCTCTGATAATCTTTCTAGAAGGAAGGGAATTCCAGTTGCAGAGATTTATGTAAAGAAAGATTATCTGGCTATCTGCCCACGCTCTTAACCGGTGACATTATCTCAACCAGTCTACCATGGTCCTGTTTCTGGCTTTTAGGAATTTGATTAAGAAAACTAATTTACTCTTCATAAACTGATAAGACATCAGTGTAACAATCCAAATGCCAAATTTTAAGTTTACTAATTAAACTATGCATTATCTTCTGATGTGGACATACGTTTTTCTCATCAAAAAGTTATAGGAAAATCAAAGTTTCTTGTTGATGAAAGTTGTCACTGAATTAATTACATGACTAATAAATGTAACATCTTAATAGTATTAAGATAATATAGCATTCATTCATTAACAATTATTGTACACCTTGGTGTGAACTAACATGTGTTAAATACTTTGCTACATCTTAAAGAGCAGCATGGAATCAAAAGGTCAAAAGTCAAAGTCACTGTCTCAGAAGCTTACAGTCAACTGGGAAAGGTGGACAGAAAACAGACAGCTATGATACATTTGATAAATGCTCTCAATGAGGCATGAAATTGTTCAATTTTGGATATACTTTGGAGAGATTTCATTCAAGATGGGGGTTAAATGGGGGAAATTATGAGGGCTCCTACAGTAGGCAACATCTGAGTTACATCATGAACCATGAACCATAAGCAGAAGTCTTTGAAGGACGAAGGAAGGTATTGAAGATAGAAAGGGGGAGTCAGGCAGAAACAATACCTCAGGCAAAGACCAGGATCAAAGGATACCTTGGGATTTGCAGACAGTAAGTACTTCACCTCAACTAGAGCACAGTCTAAGTCTAATTCTGGGTGTACTGGGTGCAAAAAGGTGGGACTGAGTCAGATTACAAAAAACACAGTGGACTCATCTCCAAATTATGGAATATTTGTGGAAGAAAAGAAGAATTAAGAAACAAAAAGGACAGCTTTCTCTTTCAGAGCCATTCTTTTGCTTTGGGCTTTTGGTCATGATATGTTATATATTTTTAAAACATTTATCATTTAAAATTTGTACTTTTTTAGTTATATTGTTAACATTTTTTTCTTGCAATGTTTCTACTTCAACTGTTTATATTTGTTGACATAAAGTTATTGATAATAGCCTTTTTATTCACTGAAGTTATATTCTCTTTTTCATTGTAGTGTTGCTATTATGCCTTCTTTTATACTTTTTCATAATTAATCTTGCCAGATAGTTACCAGTTTTATTAGTCTTTCGTTTCGTTGCTCCTCTCTATTGTAGATTTTTCTGTTTCATTAATTTTTGCTCTTTATTCTTCCATTCCTCAATGGAATAATATTCCATCTTAAAAATTGATAAAATTCTCCTTCGGAACAACATGAATGAATCTAGAGGGCATGCTGAGTGAAACAGGCTAGATAGAGAAAGACAAATACCACACAATCTCACTTAGATTAGAAATTTTAAAAATGAACTAATTTCTTCAGTTTTTACATTTACTGTTTTCTTAGTTCTTTAGATGGATGCTTAGCTATTAACTTTCAACTTTTTAGTGTTCTATTATAAACATTTTAGTCTATAATTGTTAAAACTGTCAAAACCTACTTCAACTATATTCTATGCAATATTTTCATGTTTCATTCCATTAAAAATTTTTAAATTTCTATTATAATTTCTTCTTAAGTTCATTTATTGATTAGATGTATTCTTGATTTTTTTTTTTGATGGGGGAGTTGCTGCTTTGAAACCTCATTACATTGTATCTATCTGTGAGTAGTTTTAAAATTTATTCCTCCTATCACACAAGTTTAAATTTTGTTTTTTAAACAAACAAGTTTTAGAAACATCATCTCATCTCATTCAAAAACTTTGATTAGATGTTTGTTATATCTTTTTACTCCATCCTCCATGTCTTTTAATCTCCCATATTTTTCATCTTCTTGTTTTTCTTTTCTGAATACTGGATAATTTCTTTAAATAAGTCTTCCAGTTTTTTCATTCTCTGAATTTTTCTTCATTCTTATGTCTCTATGTTCATTGACATACATTTTCAATTACAACTTTTATTTTGAGATATTCTTTTTGGTTCTTTTCAAACCTGCTGGCAATCTTACATACTCTTACTGCTCACTCTTATTTTCTGGTCCCTATTTTATTTCTTGGAACATATTAAACATACTAGCTATTTTGTAAAATATCTAATATCTGAGTCTTTATAGTTTTATTTGTTTATGTTGGCTTTTTTTTTCCTCATGGTGTCTTATTTACTTTTGACTTTTGTGAATATTCACTGTGTTTATATTACTGGAAAATTTATCATTTGAAATCCTTTGATACGTGGGTCAAAAGTTGGTCCTCTAGAATGTATTTCCTACTGCTTTCAACAAGCACCTGAGGGTATTAAGCACCTAGGATTAGTTTGAGCTAAATTATGGAATTGAAGGTTTTTGCTACCTGCTGTAACGAGAGTTAGCTGTAGACATGCATTTTCAGGGGAAATATATTTTGTAACCCAGTGCTAAGATTTTATACAGGCAATTTTCCATGCTTCCCCCTTGAAAGGGAGATGCAGGTTTATTTCTGATCATCTTTACACTAAGGAGTATTTGGGATACCAATTGAATGTGGGGATCTTCTGTTTAGACTCTTTTGGCAAATTCCTAAGATATGTCTCCTTTTCCACTACCATCTTTCCAACCCCATCCATTGAAAATAAAAGCTCAACATCAACAAAAATTGGCTAAAGGCTCTAAGGCAAAAGTAAGCGTCAGTGCTGTGTTTACTTATTTGGATTCTCTTTTCACTAAGATTTTGGCCTCAGACAAGTCTTTTTATCCATGTTGAGCAATAAATGTACTTTAAAGAATGCTTAGTCAAGTCAAATTGTCCCTGTGCGCAGATGACATGATTGTATATCTAGAAAACCCCATTGTCTCAGCCCAAAATCTCCTTAAGCTGATAAGCAACTTCAGCAAAGTCTCAGGATACAAAATCATTGTACAAAAATCACAAGCATTCTTATACACCAATAACAGACAAACAGAGAGCCAAATCATGAGTGAACTCCCATTCACAATTGCTTCAAAGAGAATAAAATGCCTAGGAATCCAACTTACAAGGGACGTGAAGGACCTCTTCAAGGAGAACTACAAACCACTGCTCAATGAAACAAAAGAGGATACAAAGAAATGGAAGAACATTCCATGCTCATGGGTAGGAAGAATCAATATCGTGAAAATGGCCATACTGCCCAAAGTAATTTATAGATACAATGCCATCCCCATCAAGCTACCAATGCCTTTCTTCACAGAATTGGAAAAAACTACTTTAAAGTTCATATGGAACCAAAAAAGAGCTCGCATCGCCAAGTCAGTCCTAAGCCAAAAGAACAAAGCTGGAGGCATCACTCTACCTGACTTCAAACTATACTATAAGGCTACAGTAACCAAAACAGCATGGTACTGGTACCAAAACAGAGATATAGATCAATGGAACAGAACAGAGCCCTCAGAAATAATGCCGCATATCCACAACTATCTGATCTTTGACAAACCTGAGAAAGACAAGCAATGGGGAAAGGATTCCCTAGTTAATAAATGGTGATAGGAAAACTGGCTAGCCATATGTAGAAAGCTGAAACTGGATCCCTTCCTTACACCTTATACAAAAATCAATTCAAGATGGATTAAAGACTTAAACGTTAGACCTAAAACCATAAAAACCCTAGAAGAAAACCTAGGCATTACCATTCAGGACATAGGCACGGGCAAGGACTTCATGTCTAAAACACCAAAAGCAATGGCAACAAAAGACAAAATTGACAAATGAGATCTAATTAAACTAAAGAGCTTCTGCACAGCAAAACAAACTACCATCAGAGTGAACGGGCAACCTACAAAATGGGAGAAAATTTTCGCAACCTACTCATCTGACAAAGGGCTAATAACCAGAATCTACAATGAACTCAAACCAATTTACAAGAAAACAAATGACCCCATCAAAAAATGGGCAAAGGACATGAACACACACTTCTCAAAAGAAGACATTTATGCAGCCAAAAAACACATGAAAAAATGCTCACCATCACTGGCCATCAGAGAAATGCAAATCAAAACCACAATGAGATACCATCTCACACCAGTCAGAATGGCAATCATTAAAAAGTCAGGAAACAACAGGCGCTGGAGAGGATGTGGAGAAATAGGATCACTTTTACGCTGTTGGTGGGACTGGAAACTAGTTCAACCATTGTGGAAGTCAGTGTGGCCATTCCTCAGGGATCTAGAACTAGAAATACCATTTGACCCAGCCATCCCATTACTGGGTATATACCCAAAGGACTATAAATCATGCTGCTATAAAGACACATGCACACGTATGTTTATTGTGGCACTATTCACAATAGCAAAGACTTGGAACCAACCCAAATGTCCAACAAGGATAGACTGGGTTAAGAAAATGTGGCACATATACACCATGGAATACTATGCAGCCATAAAAATGATGAGTTCATGTCCTTTGTAGGGACATGGATGAAATTGGAAATCATCATTCTCAGTAAAGTATTGCAAGGACAAAAAACCAAACACCACATGTTCTCACTCATAGGTGGGAATTGAACGATGAGAACACATGGACACAGGAAGGGGAACATCACACTCTGGGGACTGTTGTGGGGTGGGGGAAGGAGGGAGGGATAGCATTAGGAGATATGCCTAATGCTAAATGACAAGCTAATGGGTGCAGCACACCAGCATGGCACATGTATACATATGTAATGAACCTGCACCTTGTGCACATGTACCCTAAAACTTTAAGTATAATAATAATAAAATAAAAAATAGAAAAAAAAAGATATTTTATGTAAGACATTTGAAGTTCTCAGGGTGAACATTGTCAGAATGTCTAGCCATAAGTATATCCATTAGTGGAACACACCTTTTAAATTGTAGGTAGCTGATGGAATTTTTTTGGTTTGATAAAGTTGGCATTGTCAGAGTTCCCATTTTCTTTCATGCATTAACATATGATTAAGATGTTATTCATCAGAAAGACTATAACAGCTACCTCCTTTCCCTTCCATGTAGTTTCTGACTATTGAAATATCAAACTGATTTGGGAGGCCGAGGTGGATGGATCATCTGAGCTCAGGAGTTCAAGACCAGCCTGATGAATATGGTGAAACCTCGTCTCTACTAAACAAATACAAAAATTACCCGGTCATGGTGGCATGCACCTATAGTCCCAGCTACTCGGGAGGCTGAGACAAGAGAGTTGATTGAACCCAGGAGGCGGAGGTTGCAGTGAGCTGAAATTGCGCCACTGCACTCTAGCCTGGGTGACAGAACGAGACTCCATCTCAAAAAGAAAAAAAAAAAAAAAAAAAAAAAAAGGAAGAAAGAAATACCAAACTGAGACTAGAAATAAGCAAGAGAAGCAGCATTACAACAGGTACAGAAGTTACCTTATACTGAAAGTGGGCAAGAAATAAAACTGACATGGAGCTATTGTTGATTGAGTATTTATGTAAGAAAAAAGTATCTAATTAAGCGAAGTTATTATCCTTCAGATATTCTAATACTACTTTTCTGCTAGATAAAAATGTTCCCGGTGGTCAGCTTTAATCAAAGATTAAAATTAAAAAAACCCTAAAATAAAGAAGAGTTGATCAGGTCTTGTTCTAGCAATCTGTCATCTGTGTAGATGTTACATGTGTAGCGTGATTTGGGATGGGGAGCAGTGGGAAGAACTGTAGAGAATTTTTATTGTATAGATGAACCAGTATGCCACAGTCTCCTACTGGAAAATTAAAGGCACTCAACTCGGACATTTGAACCTGTGGAATTCCATAGAAAGCATTCAAAGCACGATTATGCCATTATTACTGACACCGTAGAGGCCCAAGAAAACTAACAGAAAAAAGAACTGTACCTCTTTAGAATAACAAATTAAATATGTATAAAATATCTTCCACCCTACCTTTACTCCTCTGCAAATCTGGCTCAGGGGATATTTGGAAATATAGATTTGACAAGTGAAACATAAATAACCTATTTAATTTCTTGGTAGCTGAATATATTTTTGTTTTTAACCTGGAGAGATGGCAAAAAAGGAAAGCAACTATTTAAGTACCCTGTGGGTACCCTGCTCAGGAAAATGACAAAACAAAATAAATGGCCATTTTCATGTTGCTCCCTAGTGCAGGCAGAAAGGAATGGTGTTATTTCTTGAGTCTGACATAAATACTGGATTTCCTGATTGCTGGAGTATGTGTGATTATTTCAGATATTATGTTTTTATTCCAATGATTTTAGGGAAATTAAAGGAAAATTACTATAACATGTACAAAATCAGTGTTTCAAATAAGTGACTTAGGTTAAAAAAAGAGATATACAATATATTGGGGAAATTAAAATCATAATAATCACAGATTTTTAAAAAGTAGTATCACATAGAACTTTCAAATGTACTCAATTTTTCTTCTTTTAAAAATAGCAAATATCTGAATCAGTTATATTGTTAATAGCTAATAACATGACATTTCATTACGTTACAATTCCCTGTAAAATAGAATATATTTGCGGACAGCAATAATAGAAAATATAATAGTCAATGTATTATAAGGTGATTTCCTTTCTATAGAAATTTCATGGCATGAATTACATTGTAGCATAGTTTATGTTTTTCTTGGTTGGAGGATTTTGAACTTGGCTATTGCTAAGATATTAAAGACTTCAGTAATGATAGGAGTTATTAAGCTCAAAGAAAATGCTAGGTCTACTATTTTCAGAAGAAAATTTTTTTTCTGGTTTATTTGATTTGCCTACACAAATGTTGGCGAAATCTAATTCATCAGTGCATAACTCTTATGATTCACACGCAAAATATAACTTGAAGCCAAATAACAAAGGGTAGAAGAGAACACTAAACAGAGAATCTAAAAACTTGATTTTTGCTTGTGGTTCTGCAACTAACTAGCTGTGCAGTCTCCGTGTTTTCAGAATTTCTCTGCAGCTGAACTTTTTAACCTATGAATCCAGGAGACTGGATCAAAGGCCTTACTCAGTCTAAACTTTATAAAGATTAATAAGTGTATTATTAGGTGGATAATTTAGGTGCAAAAGACAGAAACCCAACTCAATGTGTGTGTGTGTGTGTGTGTGTGTGTGTGTGTGTGTGTGTGTGTTTTCTGTAAAGGGAATTTACTGCTTAACTTGGCTGAAGATCTGGAGGTAGACCAGCTCCAGGAGTGGTTGGGTCCAAGGGTTTGACTGATGACCTCAATCCTCAACTTTTCTTTGTCCATCTCTTGTGTTGATAATGCTTTCCTTTTCTTCTTTTTCAGATCGGCTGGTCTCATTCAGTAATTATGAATTATTTATTTATAATTCCAGACTTACTTATTCTGCATTTAACAGTGCCAGAGAAAGATAACATCTCCTTTCTAATAATTCCAACAAAACCCTTTACCTCACTTGGGTCATGTGCCTATCCCTGTTCTGTGGACTTGGATGCAGAATTCTCTAATTGGTCAGTCATGGGTTATGTCTCTATCCTTAAAAGTTGAAAGGAGGGGCTGGTGCAGTAACTGAAGCCTGTAATCCCAGCACTTTGGAAGGCTGAAGTGGGCAGATCATTTGAGATCAGGAGTTAGAGACCACCCTGGCCAAGGTGGCAAAACCCCATCTCTACTAAAATACAAAAATTAGCCAGATGTGGTGGTGTACATCTGTAATCCCAGCTACTTGGGAGGCTGAGGCAGGAGAATCACATGAACATGGGAGGCGGAGGTTGAAGTGAGCAAAGATTGTGCCACTGCACTCCAGCTGGGGCAATAGAACGTGACCCTGTCTCAAAAAAGGAAAAAGAAAGGAGGGAAATTCCCCTCCTCTCCAAACCATGTGAACAGATGAATAGGATGGTAAGGATCCCATAAAAGAAAAGAAAATTAAGGTTTTGCTATCTGAAATGGTGCAAACAAAAACAAAAACAAAACACATGCACATACACATACACAAAAACAATACACACACACAGAAAGCAAGAGAGAGAGAGAGAACATATTGGGCTGGCAAAACTAACAAATAATCAGCACAGGAATCTTCCCTGTTTAATAGAAAAATTAGTCATATGAATTTCTTTTGATTTTCTTGATATTTAAAATGTATTTGCAATGTTTTTGTAACAAAACATCATTTAAAAACCAGCAAATAAGTATAGAAGAAATGACATACTTAAAAACCAGCATTTTGCAACCTTCAATGTCATAATTTATTCAAAGAGAATTGTCAGCTTAAGCTAAAAGAAATTTAACAAGTAAATATCATGTGGAATTTTAATTGGATCTTGGACTTAAAAAAACTCCTTAAAATCCCTTTTGGAATAACGGTGAAATTTAATATGGACTATGCATTAATTATATTAGTAAATTTTGTTTGATAATAATATTGTGGGCACGTGTCTCTAGTCTTAGGATATCTATGCTGAAGCATTTGGGGGCAGTGGTGGTATCTGCTGTTTACTTGGAATGTTTCAGCAAAATAATAAACACATATTTTCATGTGTGTGTATGTACACATATTTGTGTCTATATCTATATCTTTCCATTGAAGAGATAAAAAAAATCCTAACTAGTATTGTATTTTCTTAAACAACAATTTGGAATTGATTATGTAATTTCCTCAATGTCCTCAATAAATGCACGCATCAGCCTTTGGGATGCTATTATTAATCCCACCACTCCAACCTTTGTGTCCTTTTCCATTCCTCCACTTTATGTTTTTCCCTCATCCAGAGAAAAATAAATGGTGCTGAGACATCACTGTTCAAATGTGAAGATTTCCTGTTGTCAGTTTCTACCCTTATCTTAGCTGTGCCAGTTACTCTTAATAAATAGCCAGTTATTTGCAGCTTCTATTCCTCTCTTCTGGAACCAATGAATGGTGGTAGTTTTTTACCCCTACAATCAGTGAAATTTGGAGTTATCCACTTGGCTGTTCTGTAATAATAAAAGTTATAATTTTGGGGACATTTACTGTATGGCAGCATAATGTTAAAGGATGTCATGCTCCCAGGAAACCTATGATTAAATAAAATTGTTACCCTGTTGCTACCCTAGACGAACCATCACCGTCTCTTGCCTGAATTACTGCTGTAAGCTTCCACAGCTTCCAATAGTGTTCCCATGTAAATCCTTTCCACAGCAGCTAGAAGGACATCCCCATAGATCAGGACAGGAATTTTTGCCTATAGTTACAATATCTTCAGCTTAGATGAATTCCTGGTATATTGATGGTTCTGAATGAATATTGCATGATGGAATGGGTGTCACTTATTTCCTGAAAATATTTTACTAGCTTATCTTTTTACTTAATATGTAAAGCCCTTACCATGGCTCACAGGGCCTTCCATGGACTTTCCCATGACTGCTTTTCTTATCTCCTATAGCACGTTCTCCTTTATTCATACTAGCCTTCTATCCGCAGGCATGCGGATAGCCCTACCTCCAGGCTTTTTGCCCTTTTTGTTTGCTTTTTCCTCATCCTGGAATCTTCTGCCTCTACATCCTTCCTTGGTTTGCTCTGTCTTTTCATGCACATCTCAAGTCAAATGTTACTTCCTTATAGAGGTTTTCCTAGACTGCCATCCAATTTTAATTAATCCCTTTAGCCAGGCACTGTTGATCACATCACCTCAATGTTTCCTCACAGGCCTAAGCATTATCTAAAATTACCTTTTCCATTCATTAGTTTATTTTCTGTTTTCCACTACTAGAATGCAATCTTCACATGTCTAACGACTTTATAAAATCAAAATTTATCACAGAATTTGTAGCTCTTAGGGCAGAGCTAGTAGGTACGTCTGCGGTGAATGCTTTTATTTTGAATGAATGAGGAAATGGAGGCTTAAAGAAGTTAATAGCATATATATTTCTGATGATATCAAGCTAAATATATATGTTCATGCATTTCTGAACTTGTAAATATTCATTTTATATACGAACAGGGTCGTATGTTCCATTCAAGGACAAAATTGGGGGCATTCTTCTCTTGGTATTTGATGTAGTTTGGATATTTGTCCCTTCCAAATCTCATGTTAAAATTTGATCCCAATATTGGGGGTGGGACCTACTGGGAGGAGTTTGGGTCATGTGGGCAGACCCTTCATGCAGTGACAGCTGATTGTTAAAGAGTCTGGCACCTCCCTTCTCTCTCTCTTTCTTCCTTTCTTGCCATGTAATATCAATTCCCCTTCCCCTTCTGCTGTGAGGGAAGGCTTCCTGAAGCCCTCACCAGAAGCAGATGCTGATACCGTGCTTCTATAGTCTGCAGAACTGTGAGCCTCTTTTCTTTATAAATTACTTAACCTTAGGTATTCCTTTCAAACAGATTAGACAGTATTTTACTCACTTTTCTCTGATTCTCTATTGGAATACACTATACACCCGGTTATGGATTCAGGTAGAAAAATGGTACAGTAAAATATTCTTAGCTCTTGTCCATTGAACTACCATGTTTTAAAAATCTTTTCTAATCTTTCAGACCAACCTGTCTATACCGTCTTGTGTTTTGTCTTGGAAGCAATGAGAACATGGAAAGAGGAATTGAGAAAATTTACTCAGAGTAATAGATAACTCCCAACAAAACTCTTTGTAGAGATGAACCGAGCAATTCCCACAAAAATTCTGTCAGTTACATGTGCTTGAATTATTTTTTCGGTTAATTCAGATACCTGAAATTGTATCAATGTGCTTTGAAACACAGGATATTTCAGTTATTTTTCTCACACAAATAAAGTAGAGTATCTTTATTTGATGGTATATATGTTCAAGGTCCTCACATTTGTATATAATTTTAAGTATTACAAAGTACTTTTACCTATATTCTCTTGTATTGATTTTTAAAACAATCCAAGGAGGTCAGCATGTCATAAAATACTCTTCTTTAGCAAATGAGGACATTTAGGCACAGGGTGGTAGGAAAGCGACATTAGGAACCACATCTATGTAACAACAGATAACAAACTGGAAGAGTCGGAGCCGGAAATTAAGTCTTTTGATTTCTCATCCAGGAATATTATTCTTGTCAGACAAGATACAGATAATAGTATCAATAGATAAATGTTAGAAAAGTAGTATACCAAATAAAAATATTCTGAAACTAAAAGAACAAAAAACCCTGGAACGTTTAGAAGTTGTGTGGTATCAATATTTTGAATGGGATGCAAAAGGAATGAATTGTCATTGTTTTAAACATCAAAAATGAACAGTGGAAATAGCCAAATTAGTCATTTTAAAAGAAGCCATTAAGAAAGAATGCTTATCAGAGTAAAGGCTTATATTAAATCTCATCTTCAACATTTATGAAAACCATACCCTTCTTGAACATCAGCTAAAGTACGTTTATTTCTTGCTTGGCTGAAACTGTAATTTAGACTTACGTGATAATTGAGATGGAATAGAAGCAAATTTTATCCAGTTTGAGTCTTCCTTCAAATGACCTGTGTGGATATAACCTTATAAACTTAGGTAATTATGTATACAATTTTTATTTTATAATGTTAAACTTTTTGATGAAGATAATGCTTATAAAAATGAATTTATAACTTAGGATTTCATTATAAAACAGGTGGTACACTCAAATTAGAATTATTCAGAAGGGTTTGTTTTCAGCGGCGTGAGGAGGATACAGGGTAGCCTTCCCCCAGCCCCTTTATGGAGTTCTTTGTTAGTGGACCCAAACCTGAAGCCAGGAGACAAGGTGAACCTCCAAGGGCAAAGGCAGGATATAGAAAGGCGGAAATACATCTGGAGGTGAAAAGGAATGTGTTCAGCAGAGTGATCTGAAGAGAGCTCATGGCGATGGTAAAAACATTGAGTGTTCTCTGTCTTGTCCATGCCTGTACTTAGCACTTTACATTCATTGACTCAGTCCTCACAGCAACCCTGTGAAGTATCATTCTCCCCATTTTACAAGTGAAGAAACCAAAACTCAGAGATTACTTGCAATACAGTATAGTACATATCTTAAAGGTGTATTTGTGTTTATCCTTCTCCTTGGGAACAGACAGCCCATAAGGAAAGAGGAAAATAATGTCAGTCAATACAGGAAGAATTTTCCACAGAATATTATGATTATTTCTTTTGGAAAAAATCAAAGAATGCTGATCTATTTGTAGTTAGGTGTGTATTTTGATTTGAAATATGTAATAGAGATAACTTTAGCTAGCGAGATCTAACAAGAATTTTTTTGATGTCAAACTTTGCCAAATATAGTCTCACTAGATAAAATTAAGAAGGTAAGCCAAAAGTGATTAGTCTTTCACTCCACTCTCAATCTTCTGATTAAACCTTAGAGAAAATAAGCCAAGGAGATATAACTGTAGGATATAGCAACTTTGGAGAAAGTGCACGAGAAATAAGTTAACCCCACTCTTGATATTTGAGACCCTGCCACACAACCCTATTACGCTGTCTGTCTTACGATAGTAGAGGGAGGAGCCACATAGTGAACTCATCCTCTGAGTGGGTTGGGAGGACATCCAACCTGGCCAAGACCATGGGTGTGAGGATGGATTGGGAAATGGGGAAGTGTTTTCATTTTCTTCTTTGTTTGCAATTTTCAACAAAAACACTTTTGCCACCTGTTTTGTAAGTGACTGGTGTAAACATGGCTCAAATTGACTCTCATTGTAGGGCTGGAGATCTTGGTAAGTTAGCACAGAAACTTTCCTGTGGTACTTTCTCAGGGCCATGAGATGACACTGAAAATGGATCTTGTAACCAAATGTGCTTTCAAAGTCCACCTTCCTACTGCTTTGCCCCATTACCTCCCTTGACGTTTTCTCTGTATCTACATAATGGGCACAAAGTACTTAGAAAGAAAAGATACAATTGACACATTGGTAGTTTGCGTAAATTAATATATGGTTACCCCCTTTGTTTTCATATTCTACCACATTCCAACAGGACACATAAAATGGATACCCCAAACTGCTCAAGAGGCACAGACCTTCATGACCTATTTAGAAAGATGTGATGTAAAACGATTTTTACTTGACGGGTAGCATTAAATCATATCTTAAGAGACTTTATTAGAATCCTCTTTAAAGTCTCCATGAATTGCTAATATAAATGTAGTCATATCACATGTACCAGAAAATATGACCGATGAAGACAGACCCAAGTCCCTCTAGTCGGATTCTCAAGGATTGTAAAAATTCATGATTCAAAACTGACAAAATTATGCAAACTTTTTCTATACCCGTTGCAGTCCAGCTTCTTTTTCTGTATGTTTTACTTTACCTTTCTACAAAATGGGCATTCTTTAAGGATTTTTTGAAGATTGATGAAGTAGTTTCTAAAAAATGCTTTTAAATCCCCAGATGCTTGCAATAAACTCATTGTAGGTATTTTTCTGTCATTTATTTTACCAGCTGAAATTTGCAGGCCATATTGCCACATAAATATTTGTTCTAGTTCAGTGCTTGAGAGGTGGAATAGTGTTTCTTGCATGCCATTTTATTGATAGAACACTTTGGTTGAACTCCATGGGGAAATACAGACTATGAAAGAAATGATTTCATTGCTGGAATTAGACTTTGGGGATCTGCACCACTGGACCTGTTAGATGTTACCAGACAACATGGCCAACTTCTCCTCACTTAAAAAAAGAGTCTGGACTCTAGCAATACTCATAAAATCTTATCTTTTTGTCTTTCTTCATTTTTGAGACTTAAAATGCTGCATATGCTATTGACTCTGCTTTGAATTCTTAAAGAGTTTTAATAGTGACAATGCTGTCCTGAGCCATTTCTATAGACTATGTCTATTTCTTTTATAGTATGTACTCAACAAATCTGCCTGGATTAAAAACAAATCACAACTCACTGATGAATGGAAAACAGATAGCTGATATTCTGTTTTCCTCACTGCTTATAGCCTGTGTCATGAAGCATTACCTGTAGAATGAGCTTTCTTTTTGTCTTTGTTTTCCTTCACATTTTAGTAACTGAGCCTGTGATTATGGATCAGAGTTTGAAAAAAGTTTGTGATTTGTTCTGAAAAAGATTGCATGAAGTGCATCAGTGCTTTCCCGGCTGAAAACATCTGTTAGGAGGCACAAATTTAGCTTCTCATTGTTGGTTTCCTGAGTACCAGACAGAGTTTATTATTTAACTGATGACTGGGAAAAATGGGCTCCAGCAACAATCTGGCCACAAACTGAAGACGTTTTTTATATTTGTTCTTTAAAGTACCTTGAGTGGAAGGATTTTGGAATAAAATATTGACCATTAGCCCTTGCTGGGTAAGAGTATTTGTAGAAATATGTATACACACACACACACATATGTAGACACACAGATATACACAGATATGTATATATGTATATATGTATGTATGTATGTATTCCTACATCCCTATATTTCTATATTGTAAAAACACATATTATAGAAATAGGCTGGGCATGGTGGCTCACGCCTGTAATCCAAGCACTTTGGGAGGCCGACATGGGTGGATCACCTGAGGTCAGAAGTTCAAGATCAGCCTGGCCAACATGGCGAAACCCTGTCTCTCTTAAAAATACAAAAAGTAGCCAGGCGTGGTGGCAGGTGCTTGTAATCCCAGCTACTCAGGAGGTTGAGAATCACTTGAACTCTGGTGGCAGAGGCTGCAGTGAGCCCAGATCATGCCATTGCACTCCAGCCTGGGCGACACAGTTTGATTCCATCTCAAAAAAAAAGATATATATATATATATATGAATTGTCATTGTTTTATATATATCTATATATAGATATATATAAAATATATATAGAGATATATAAATATATATAATATATAAATATATAGATATATAAATATATATAGATATATATAAAATATATATAGAGATATATAAATATATATAATATATAAATATATAGATATATAAATATATATAGATATATATATAAATATATAATATATCTATATATATCTCCATATTATAGAAATACAGTTTTTAAAACATAGATGATTTTAAGTTAGCAAAGATAAAAGAAAAAGAGGGAATTGCCTTAGGAGTTTTAGGAGAGAGAGAGAGAGAAGTGACACAGTGAGAGAGAGAAACTGATTATGTTGAGATCAAATTACAGTTAATAAATATGCCAATACATCAGAATAAACAGCAGTACAGTCTGAAATTCTAATTTCTTCACTAGTGGTTTTCATTCCCTGATTGGACTTTATTTTTTAATAACAACTGTTTTGAAACAGCCTCTATGCTATTCTGAAATAAATTCTCTTCATAATATAACAAATTTCAACAAAAATAAAAACATATCCCTAAATGTAATAAAATTAAAAATGAAAGGAAAGTAACTTAAACTAAAAATAATAACCAGCACATTATTTATTTCTTTGATATTTAAATATTCAGGTGGATCACATTAGAAGATATCTTGAAACAGCCAGCTGCTTGTACCTGTAATTAACCTTAGAATCACTGAATGCCACAGCGGCACATGCATGCTGACAGATTCCTTGTACAGACAACTAGAATACCATGAGCCACATCACACTCAAAGACACAGTTTTTCCAAAGGAGAAACTCTTGATACATTCCTGAAGATAGCAAGGTAGAATTTTTCTCTTGATTTACAATGAGTTACAGTCCTGTAAAATGCAGTGTGTATTGAAACTTTGCAAAAGATGTTTTATGCCTATGCAAGATAGCGTTAGATCCTGGACTTTGATAATTATAAGCAGGTTTTTCACTTATGACTGTTTAGGGCATTCAAAAACCATATGGGGTGATTTACTGTTCTTCCTTGTATGAGATTTTATGGTGAATTTCAGAAAGGTAAGTTTCTCTAGCTCTTGCCAATTAAATGCCTGTAGAATCCCATCTCACCCTAAAAACTTTGTGAAGAAAAGCATTCTCCAAGGAATTCAGCAAGTGCACTCAAGGGGGCAGCAGGGCCATTGTTGAGGCCGTTGCAATGCACTGTTTAGACTGCCTAAAGGTCTCACCTAAGACTAATGTTATCTATAGGTGAATCTTGTGTTTTTATCTTTTGGGCATCTGATAGGGTGGTTAGCTAGAAGTCCAGTTATGTTATTATGTGCTTAGCCAAGGAGCATCTTCTCTAAAGCTTTCTGTATTTAAAGTAGCATCTCATAGAGGTTAGTTGCTCAGAGGCAAAGGTGAATGATGGAAGAAATGTGATGCTGATTTCATTCCATTACTTTCAAGATTAGAATGCAGTGACCAATAAAGATTCTCTAGAATAGAAAAATGTTTGTCTTTCTGTCTAAGTTGCTTTTGTGACACTTCAAAAATTCATACCAATGATCTTTTCTTTACCCTATGCTTACCACAATGAAATTAGGCTTTTTTTTTTTTTTTTCCCTTAAGCCACAATGCAAAGGGAGAGAATGACAGGTATTTTTCTTCAATTACTTAGATTTTGGGTCTTTTTTTATTCTGTCCTAAACATTGACCACCAAGTAGGTTCAATCTGAATTAAAATTCTGAAAACTAAGCAAGCTGGGTATTCATCCTTGTCATCTTTTTTGATCATGATATACCATTCACATTTTCTTATGACTAGATTTATTTAATATTAAAATATTTAATTTATCAAGTCTCAAAATTTTTAATTTAGGATGTGTCAAGAAACATTCTTTTACATTGTGCATGGCTGTGTGTTTTAACGTTTCTTTGAGAATTTCAACTTCACATCTGTAGTGAGAAAAGGCACTGTAAACAGTAAGAAAACTAATTTCAACAATGAGAAGTAGTCTGAATATCTGAAAACAAGTCAAGGACATAGAGACTAGAGATTTTATCCTAGCTGCCTAAAGTCCTTGATGCGGATTAAGTGTTTCAAGGATAAGATAGAAGAAAATTTTCTCAACCTGGGGAACATGTTGAAATAAATGTTTTCTGCTCAAATATCATATCTCTTCATGCCACTGACAGGTCATTTTCACAGGTGGAAAATTGTCATTCTCCTTTTTTTCCAATATAATATCTCTCTGAAAAATAGGTTTTAGTTTGAAAAATGGATATTTTTCTGCAGTAAGAATAAGACTTCCCAACTGATACAAGCAACTTACCTCAAGGTGAGGTTGAATTTGGGAAAAGTGTACATTTGCAGTGGTTAATAAAAAGTGGGTCTTTCTTTTTTAAAATCAATTTTTAAAAAAATGGCCAGGTGTGGTGGCTCACTCCAGTAATCTCAGCACTTTGGGAGGTCGAGGCAGGAGGACTGCTTGAGCCCAGGAGTTTGAGACCAGCCTAGGCAACAGGCCAAGACCCTGTCTCTACAAAAAAAATTTTTTTTTTAAAATAGCTGGGTGTGGTAGTGTGCACCTGTGGTCTCAATTACTCCTGAGGCTGAGGTGGGAGGATTGCATGACCCCAGGAGTTTGAGGCTGCGGTGAGCCGTGATTGTGCCACTGCACTCCAGCCTGGGTGACAGAGTGAAAACCTGTCTTAAAAACAAACAAAAAGTCACATAGCTAATGTGTAAAACCAGTTTAAATAATTAAACTTACAAATGATAAAAATAAATGAATAATAAAATGAATAAATAAATCAATTATCCTTGAGAAAAAGATAAGTTTAGACTAAGAAGGAAATAGAGAACCAATATCCCCAATTCTTGATTTAAACAATGGGCTACATTCTATGCTAAGTCCTAAATCTATCCAAGTTTCCTTTCTTCCGTAATTCTTTTAAAAATACCAACTATAAGAAACAAAGTGATAGTAAGCTTCTAAAAGCTGAGTATTTTCTTATGAATGATCAAGGTACAGATTTCTCAATGATAATAATAGGAATGATTGGAGAAGGCAAACACAAATGAGTTCTCTTCCAATTAAAAAACATTTGCCAACTATGGGGTTTTAAAAGTATGTCTACAAGTTCTTTGTTAATTGTCCCTTCAAGAGATGGAGTGTCTCTTGAGTATAGGCTGGAGTTAATGATGCTTCTAATAAATAGAATAAAGCAAAAGTTATGAAGTACAGAGATGGATGTGCAGAAAAAACTGCACTGCAGAAAAATACAAAGCAGAATTTGTGATAGACAGAAAAGAAGCATAGTGGTTTCTATCTTGATTGCTCTTTATGTTGGATCACTTTGGGGAAAGCCCACTGCCTGGCAGTGAGATTACTCAAGCAGCCCTATGAAGTTCATATAGTCAGGAACTGAGGCCTCCTATCAACCAGTCATCTTAGAAGCAAATCATTCAGCCCCAGGCAAGTCTTTAGATGATTGCCATTCTAGCTGAGATCGGACCCCAAACTCATGAGAGACCCTGAAACAGACTGTTGGACCAGTCCTCTCCCAAATTCCTGACCCATTAAAAGCCATTAGATAATAAGTGCTTGTTGTTTTAAGACACCAATTTTAAAGTAATTTTTTTTACACAGCAATAAATAACTCACACATCAATGTTGTCCCCTTCATAGTCATTTGTATTTAGAGCATTTTCCATTCCAACATATTGCAAATTCAAATAATTCAATAGCTTCTTAACATCTCAACTAAGATATCTATTGAGGTGTATTAGTCTGTTCTCTCATTGCTATAGAGAAATACCTGGGACAGAGAAATACCTGAAATGGATAATTTATAAAGAAAAGAGGTTTAATTGGCTCACAGTTCTGCAGGCTGTATAGGGAGCATAGTGGCTTCTGGGAAGGCCTCACCTCAGGAGACTTTCAATTACAGCAGAAGGCTAAGGGGAAGCAGATATTCTTACATGGCTGGAGAAGGAGGAAGAGAGAGAGAGAGGAGGTGCCACACACTTCTGAATAAATGGATCTCATGAGAACTCACTCACTATTGTGACCAAGGGTGATGGTGCTAAACTATTCATGAGAACTCTACCCCCATGATCCAATCACCTCCCACCAGGGCCCACCTTCAACACGGGGGATTACAATTCAACATGAGATTTGGTGGGGACACGGATCCAAATCATATCAAGAAGTAAGACTATAATATGATTAGTTTTTCTGTTTAGAGATCTTCCAGTTTTTCAATTGATGTAGCACTCTTACTATGTGTTATGAGAATTAGAATGAAAATTCTAAGCCCCTCAAACAATTAAACAAACACCGTTTTGGCCAAAGGGACCCCAGAGAAACCTTAAAAACTGAGTTCCCTACCAGCATTAATGTTAAAATAGAGACCATAAGACTGACAGAATTGACTCTTTATTGGCAATAAGATACTAAATGATAAATAAGACCTAATGCCATGCCAGGCAAGGGTTAAGTCATGCACCCCTACACTTAAAGAATAAACTATGTTTTAATTGCCACAGGGTTTTTTTGTTGTTTTTCTCTAGCAGCTAGACAAGCACTACCCTTGAGATAAGTAATGTTGAAGCACTGTAGCTCATCCACCATCAAACACTGACTAAGAGCTTCCCTGGTCCACAAGCCATAACTGTAGCTTTGATTGGACAAGAGACTGATTTCTGTAACTTTTTCCTGACAACAGACCATGACCATGGAGACCATGGACTGCTTCTGGCCAATTTACAGAGGCTGTGCAGTGTTTTCATGTCCCTGCTTTGCCTTTTTACATGTAGAACCTAACTGTAATGCATTTAAATGTTAAGTCTCCACCCCAAAGTGAACATGGGACACACGTAACATTCATGTTTGCTTACCGTGCATGTGCGTGACCCCCCCACCCTACTTTATGAACATTCATAGCTCTTCCAATAACCTG
Source organism: Homo sapiens (assembly GCF_000001405.40). NCBI lineage: Eukaryota > Metazoa > Chordata > Mammalia > Primates > Hominidae > Homo > Homo sapiens. The sequence continues at coordinate 52,972,771 of NC_000002.12, read as the reverse complement.
TTGAATATGTATGTTTAGCCAACCCATTCATTGTAAAGCTCCTGCAGCAACCCATCCTCCTCCAAAGTGCCTGTTTCTGGGCTCTACCAAAAGTTATGCTTCTCAGCCTGTCAGGAAAGCTGCCTTGTTGTCTGTAATCTTTTATAAGAAATAAAGTCTCCAAATTTATAGATCTCAGGATTATAGATCTCAGATCTATATTAATCAGTTTTCCTGTTACTCATTTGTGCTCCCCAATAAACAGAAAAATACAAATGAAAATGTGGTGAATGCTTTGCTACAGTTGATGGTTCTTTCAGGTTTATCCATAGGTTTCTGTGATTGCTTTATGCACATAAAAGCTATTGCAGACATAATAGTTTTATCATTCTTCTTATAATCTAATAAAAGTTGATGAGGTGCCAGGGTGATAATTGGAAGTAAACTCCACGGATAAGTGTAGCATCTCTACTAGAACCAGGGCGTTTGGGTTCAAATTCTGGCTTCACTACTTGCCAGCTCTGTGACCTTGGACAAGATATTGTCATCTCTGTGTCACAGTTTCTTCCTCTATGAAACAGGGATAATAATAGTCTCTTCTTCATATGGGTTTCAGCTGATTGGTTTAACATCTTAAAATCAATGTAACTATTGCATTAACAGAATGAAGGAGAAAATTATATAATTTATCTTAATATATGCAGAAAAAGCACTTGATAAATTAAAAAATAACAAAAATTCTTAAACTAGAAATAGAAGGGGAGAGAACATCTTTAACTTGTAAAAAGGGCATTTGTAAAACATTTTTAAAAATCTTATATATTCTTAGTGTTGAAAGCTTTCTCATTGAGTTTGGAGACATCTTTTTAAAAATAAATTTAGTTTTCTCACATTTTGTTGCTGGTATCTAGAAATGTAATGAATTTTTATATTGGTTGATTATAAAGCAGCTTTCTTCAATTCACTTACTAATTCTACTAATTTATCTGTATTTTATATGTTGACCTGGATGATATGGTGTTTTGATAGTGGGAAAAATAAGGTGATGGAACACACAATGACTCTTAAATTCCTGCTTAGAAGAGGCATACGTCGCTTCTGCTCACATTTTATTGGCCAAAACAAGTTAAGAACCAAGCCTGATATCCATGAAGCAGGGAAGTATAATTATCCCAGAAGGAGAGGCAGATAATATTTGGAATTATACAATCCATTGCACAGATTTTTATATTATGACGTTTGTAAACAAGGCAGAGAATCTTATCTAAAAGTGAATTATTCATGCTAAAATTACACTGGGAATGGAGAACTTATTAGTGAGTGTGATAATTTAGATGAGCTTCTATTCGATCTTTATCTTTTCAATCTCAGGCAAAAGTTTATTTGTTAACCAGAAACTTTTCTTTGACAATTTAGGCCTTTGTGTCCAAAATATTCTGAATATGGAAAATTATGTGTGTTTATGGATGAGCTACAATGATATGAATGGTTGTATAATGTTTTACAGTTTACTGAGATCCTTTTATGTTTATTGAAAACAGCAATGAAATAGAGTTAGAAATTTTAGTTGCCTATTACTCAGTTATGTTCCTCCATAAACAGAAAAATACAAATGAAAATGTGGTCAATGCTTTGCTCATTTTCCCATCCTTAGAGTCTAACACAATATCTGACACAAAGAGGGACTCATTTTTTGAATGAAATAAGATTTAATTACTTGTTCAAGGTCATGGTGCTAACAATGTTCCCTTATACCACTGCTAGCCTAATAGCACCTGTCTGTAGGTGGGTAGGGAAACTAGAAAAACAGGGAAGAATAATGTAAATATGTTTGTATTTTCTCTGAAACTGACCAACCTTTCCACTTTGCACATGCTGGCATGTAATTAGATGAAGAAGATAAAGCATGGGTTACTAGAAAGGCAACTGCTGAAAAGTCCCTGCTCATAAATCACCATCAAAGTGTCCATCTGTTCCATATTTAGATACACATTTTTCAAAATTAATGTATTTAGACTCATTTAAGTGAGGAACATATGTTCAGAAAGGTATTAGAAAGTGCTTCTGAAGGCCGAGGAAACCTAAGATCTAAGAGACTGTTGATAGCTAACACTTCTTTATTCTAGAAACATTTATTTAAGCTAGCAGAACAGTTCTCAGGGGGAAAGGTCTCCAGTGTTGTCTAAAGGGGGTAAACTTAATCTGCATAATTTAATTTTCTAGGGCCTCTAAACATGGGCAGTATTTTTTCTCATCATCAATAAGTGGATACTAGAATTTAAATGATTTTCCGAGGTCAGACTGATGTTCTACTTTCAAAACAGCTTTATCACCACTAAGCAAAATAAAACGCTTTTTCAATGGGCTCCTGTATCATGCTTTAAATTTCTTTAATTTCCCCCACTGTTATTTTCTATATTAGTTCTCTATGACCAGTAAGTCAATACTGCTTATGGCAATTTAGGAGCTCTGAGTGATAGAATCACAAATAATGTGCTCAGTCTTTATCTTCCTGGATAACAATTTAGGTACAATATAGAATAACATAGGAACATAGGAACTGATTAAATACAAATGAACCAATTATAAATCACTAAATTAGCACCTGTTTTTTGTTTGTTTGTTTGTGTGTGTGTGTTTTTGTCGTTGTGGTTTTTTTTGAGACGGACTCTTGCTCTGTCGCCCAGGCTGCAGTGCAGTGGCGCAAGCTCTGCTCACTGCAAGCTCCTCCTCCCGGGTTCATGCCATTGTCCTGCCTCAGCCTCCCGAGTAGCTGGGCCCACAGGCACCCGCCACCACGCCCGACTAATATTTTGTATTTTTAGTGGAGATGGGGTTTCACTGTGTTAGCCAGAATGGTCTCCATCTCCTGACCTCGTGATCTGCTTGCCTCAGCCTCCCAAAGTGCTGGGATTATAGGTGTGAGCCACCACGCCTGGCCTAGTGTCTGTTTTTGAATACAGCTATGGGTCAGACTACTGTGGGAAACACAAAGAATTGAATCCATAGCCTTTGTTTGCTGGAAAATATAAATATAAGAAACATGAAATGGTAACTATATTAAAACATAAAATTTAATACAAAAATTCAAATACTTCATATTGTGAAATATATAATCTTATTTATTGTATAATAACTATAATATGTAAAAGGTATACTATGTATAGTATATATTATAAAAATAACAATATATAATCTTATTGCTAAGTGATTAAATAGTGTAAATTATAGAAGAGGCAGAACTCTGAGCTGCAATAAACTAGAAATTCCATGAAGGAGGAAAATACTTCAGATGTTCCTTGAAGGAAGAATTAAGGCCCAATAATTAGTAAGGTAGAGAGATGAATACTGTGTATATAATTGAATCGTGAGGGAATAGAGAGTAATTCCAAAGCAGATTGTAGTTTAATTATATTTTTGAAGAAAAAGAGGGGAAGAAATAAAAGCAGTAAGAGAAGAAATGTAAGAACACAGAAAACAATGTGTTAGTCCATGTCTTGTCCATGTCTTTTCAATGTTTTTTTGAGAAAGAATTGGGGTTAAAGCTTTCTCAAACGTCGTCATCCTAGACTAGAGATCGTCATTCCAAAAAGTGGGTATAAATCAAAAAGAGAGAAACCGATGAGAAGACGAGTTTATAGGCAATGGGGCCAGGGAAACTCCTTGTCTCTTGTACTTTCCTTTTCTACTTGCTCACTTTAAAACTCTTAAGATAAATTCCCCATGCTTTTTAAGCAACATTCATTTAGCTTAATCAGACACTATATTGGACAAGTTCAAAAAAACTTATTTGTTCCTATATTAATTTTTATAGTTGTGTCCTTAAAAGAAAGCAGGATGGACCCTAAACATGCCTTCATAGGTGCAACAGACCTGTACTGATGCTGGAGATGGCCCCTGCCCTCCTCTTCTGCAGTTTCTGCCAAGGTCTTTGTTTCTTTTTATTTTCTCAGACTGTATAAGCCCCCATTTATCAAATTATTCCTGCCTTACTTTAATAATTTTCCTCACTATTAGGAATATACTCAGTTTTCACCTACCTCTTCAAGAGCATATTCATCATGAAATAATTTACTTGAAGCAGAACTTTCAGTCCATGTTTCTGCCCAATACTTCTCAGCTCAGATTACCGGTATTTTGAAGATCTGTGTGACTTCAGACTACCCATCTTCTTAAGGGTTGTGAATGTTTAGGATCCTCAGTAATGGAGTCGGCATTTTTGGATTCATAATTTCTTCAAATACATTTTGTCTGACTTAGGCAAAATGACTAATAACTTCTCTTGGCTTCCCCTGGTCATTTTTACATCATTTGCTAACAATTTCTGAACCTAAAATCCAAGGACAATATCAAGTATCTACTTAATGTAAATCACTAATGTGCCTTTTACCATCATAGAGCAGATCACCAGTCCAGTGACTCATTAGAAAAGAACATTTTTTCTACCATTTATCTCCTCTCTACTAATGTTATACATGGTCTAAAAATACTTGAAATTGGTTGACCGAGAAGTCACAAAAATGACAACTTGTTTCTCACTGAAAATGAAAGTACAGAATCTTATTGCAAGTAAGGAGTATGGTAGACATCCACTGACCTAGACACAGTTTCAATTATTAATCCAGATGTATTCATTGAGGAGACTAGAGGGCAGTGATTATAGTGATTGATTCACTCCATTCACTGTGCTAGAAACAGAGAAGAATAAATGAATTTTTTATTATATAAATAGTTTATACTCATTATATAATAATTATATATCATATAATTCTTTATTATATAAACCTTTATAAGCCTTTATAAAGGATTTTGTCCTTTGAGAGTCCAAGTTTAATGGAGAATAAGCACATACATGGGTACATAAGGTGTAATAAAGTAAGTGCAGTATCAGAAGCTTCTGGCATAGTTAGAACAGTGCTGGGATCTCAGTAGCAACTCAGTACACAGCAGTGTGGCCATTAGAACTCTTCATTCACTATAAAACATTGTCATGGAGGGGAATGTAATTAAATCATTTGGGTTATGTTAAGGAATGTTTCTCATCATTTATTATTGCATTAACGTTTCACTATAACTGTATAGTATAATTAACTTTGGTTTTCATAATTGGACCAATAGAGATTAAGAGCAGTTGATTAACTTTCCTCAGATCACGTGTCAGTCAGGGTCATAGCACAGGTTTGGATCCAGAATTATCCAAAGTCCAGGACCAACCTCTTTCCACCATGCTGCCTCTTTCCTTTTCGTTAGCACCTAGGCCTTGTGGAGCTTGCAAACATATATATTGCACATTCTTTATATTTTTTATTTTATTTTATTTTTTATTGAGACGGAGTCTCGCTCTGTCGCCCAGGCTGGAGTGCAGTGGCGCGATCTCGGCTCACTGCCGATCTCGGCTCACTGCCAACTCCGGCTCACTGCAAGCCCCGCCTCCCGGGTTCGTGCCATTCTCCTGCCTCAGCCTCCGGAGTAGCTGGGACTACAGGCGCCCGCTACCATGCCCGGCTAGTTTTTTGTATTTTTAGTAGAGATGGGGTTTCACCGTGTTAGCCAGGATGGTCTCAATTTCTTGACCTCGTGATCCGCCCACCTCGGCCTCCCAAAGTGCTGGGATTACAGGCTTGAGCCACCGCGTCGGGCCGCTCGTTCTTTATTCTTACAGAATATATAAACCTGTATAAGAGACCTCCCCTAAAAAAAAAATACACAGAGTATAACAATTAGAAAATTCTATCAGTCAAGAACAGATAACTTCGACAATTTCAAGCAAGTTCATTGTTAGAATTTCTTGAAGAAAGTTGTGGTTAGAGTCAATCTCTACACCACTTCTGGTAGCACGTTTAGACAGGATTGCAGGCTTCATTGAGTACCAAGGATGGCTTTGGAGAGAAAAATAATTATGGCAACTGCCTCATCTCCTTTGGGTATGAAAGTATTCCAAAAGAAGAAAAACTGGACTAGTCTGGTTTGTAGATCTGTGTTGATAAGTTCAATAATGGGTGCTATGCTGCATTTTGTAGAAGGGGTATTTAAATTTTTTTTTAAATCACAAATTTGATTTTGCTTCAAAATGTTTTGTTTTCGTAGATGGAGCCTAATTATCTACATACAAAGTATTGCCAAAATTGTGTGATTTTTTTCATCACTCTGAAAGTATTCAGCTGCATATCTTTAATAAGGACTGGTTTATTTTTGCAAAGATCAGATAAAAAGAGCATAACAAGTTCTATGTATTTTTCAGAGAAGAAAGCCTTGCTTCTATGGGAAATAATGTAAGATCTCACAGGCTTGTGTTTTTAGACAAACCAATAGTAAATGACTCTTTCACTCTTGAATGACCTAAGTTAGAAAGATGTTAGTGAAGTACTTCAATCTAAAGTGTTTATGACTAATTAATTACTTTAATAGTCAACAATCAAGGCATAATTATAGATTATGTACTAGGTATAATACAGTTTGCTCCTTTACTCTGTGGAGAATGCAAAAAATAAGAAAGAAAATATAAAGTTTCTGTCTTTGAAGGAGCTTAAAATCAATAAAAACATTGAAAATAAGTTATTGGTTGATTGTTTAAAAATTAACCATAGGCTAGGCACAAAACTAGACCTTGGGTATATGATGGTGCACGGGATGAATAGAATGCCTTCTCTCATGAAGATTCCATTCTCTTTGGGGAGTCAGACAGTAAATACCTAAATCAATAAATAAACCAGGTTATTTCAGGTAATGAGAGACACTACAAAGAAAATAAAACATATCAGAGAAGGTATCTCAGCAGAGGTGAATTTTTGCCAGCTATGTAAAACATCTGTGGGCAGTGCGTTCTCATAGGGACAAGCAGCAAATGTGACCATCAGGAAGCAGGAGCAAACATGGGGTATTCAAAAAGTATTAAAGTAGAACTGTGTGCTGGAGCTCTGCCCTCAGAGCCTGCCTTTTTCAGATGCGGGCCCCTTCACCTTGCGCTTCCCAGCCTCCAGAATTGTAAGACATACATTTTTTATCTTTATATGTTACCCACCCTGTGGTATTCTGTTGTAGCAACATGAAGTGGACTTAGACAGATGGGGTCAAAGAGGTGTGCAGGGCCATTTCATGGGGGGCCTGTGAGTTCTGGTAAGAAATTTAGATTTTTAACCCAGTTGCTATGGCAAACCAATAGAAGGTTTTTTTTAGTGATATGCAATATGATGTACATAAATAATTATAGTCGACACATAATATGTGGCTATCCATCCAAAATGTACAATATAAAAGCTGGACAATTATTTTTTTCCTTAGGAAATTAGGGATAATTTCATGGAGAAGTTTTTCTTTCAGCTGAGTCTTGAAGTATGCATAAAACTTCCTGTGAGAATGGTGTGAACAAAGCTCTCAGTCAAGAAATCATAAGATGTTGACAACTACCTCACAGATACATTTGCTACTTAAGAAGAGAAAATACTTCAGCACAAAGAAATGATTGTTACATGAGAGATTGTGGGCACCATCAGCTGGATGAAGTGTTTGGGTGACTAGAGTTTGAGTGGGATGAGAGTGCTAGATGTCACCCTTCAAGCTCCATTTATGGCAGCTATTTACTCTGACATTGGAAGCTGACCCCGTTGTTGTGCTTTGACGTCCTGAGGGACAACATGATGCAGTAAATGTCAGGATAAAGGTGTTATGTTTCAGGAATCTGCCGAGGTCACAGGGAAAGGTTGGTACATTCTCAATGTAGAGGAAATTCTCACTAGTGAATATGAATGGGCCGACCTCTGTTGCCTTTTGTATGTCTGTTTCAGTGATTATGCAACAATGCTGTCTGCCTAGAGAAAGGTGACTCTGGTGCTTGAGAAAATGAATCAAAAGACCACTTCTTGGTTTTGGGTTTATGACAATTACTCCAAAATAATTGAGTCCAATTTGAGTAGTCTGGAAAGGGATGGTGTGTCCTATGCCACGAATGCAGATTGTAACATGTAGTGCTAGAATTATACAGCAGTCTTCATTATGATAGGGGATATTTTCATTGTGCTGCTTTCATATTTTGAAAGACTTTGTCAGACACGTAAGTCTGCCTGGCAATGCTTATTACTGGTTGAATTGCCTAAAAGGAGGGGTGAGCAAAATTTTTCTGTAAAGGGTCACTTAGGTAGTAAATATTTTAGGCTTTGGGGTCCAACACCAAAATCAAGGATATTACAAAGGCAGTTAAATAACAGGAACGGAATGTCCACTTTTTTTGGCTGATAAATTAAAAATATATTAATAATTATTATTTTTGCTATACACATCTACTAATGAAAATAATGAAATTTCTTCTTTGGGAGACAGGGTTTCACTTAATTGGGGTTCAAAATTAGTGCTGCTCATCATCAAATCAATTATAAATGTTCATGTATAAAAATAATTCTTAGCTTATAGGCTGTACTGTAAGCAGACAAGGGAGCTGATTTGTTCCATGGAACACAGTAGACTGACTCCTGCCTTAAAAGAGTACCTTAATTGGTAACACGAATACTTTTTCAAATTAATAATCACAATACTAATCATCATCTTCATATAATGTAGTATATCCTTTTTAGATGTCCAAATGCAGTAGATAAGTGGTTAATAACATGTGCTTTGGAATCAAACCAATCTGGGTACAATGCTTGGCCTCCCTCACTCCCTTCTGACAGTGTGACTTCGGGAAGGTCACGTTAATTTCCCTCAGGCTTGATTTTCTCATCTGAAACATACATAATACTAGTATCCCTTCAAGGCCATTTTAAAGGTTAATTGAGATAGTGTTAACATGATGCCTATTAAGTAGTAGGCAATAAATAGTAGCTATTAATATTTTTATGTGATTTCTCCAATAATTCATTTTAGGTATATAAAAGAGAAATTATTATTTGCCCTATTACTATTATTCTTTATTAGAGAAACTGAGGCAGAGATCAAGGAACTTACCCACCATTATGACACTCCAGCTTTATAATTTTTATAATAATAAATACAATAAATATTTTATATTTATTAATGATAAGTCAGTTCTCTTATCATTAATGCACTTAGTAGTTATTTATTAAGTAGTTATGTATGTGGTAGGCAGAATTATAAGATGGCCTCAAGAGACCTATTCCTTGTGTATGTGCCCTCTATAATGCCCTCTGCTTGAGTTTGGGCTCGAGTGGATCTGTGAATATCAGGGATAGTAACTCACTTGATTACGTTACATTATATGGCAAAAGTGGCAGGGATAGTCATTCTCCATGATAATGTTATTAATACATAACACTCCATAACAGCTGACTGGAAGGAGACTCTCCTGCTGGCTTGGAAGAAATAAACATACATCTTCTGAGAGTGCCAAGTGGATACAACTTGAGGGCAGCCGCTAGGAGCTAAGAGCAACTCCTAGCAGACAGCCAGCAAGGAAATAAGCACCCAGGTCCCCAAATGCTACAACTGCAAATGATTGAATTCTGCCAAAAACCTGAATAAACTTGGGAAAGGACTGCAAGTTCTACATCATACTGCAGCCTAGCCGACACCTTGATTTCAGTCTTGTAGGAATCGAGCAGAGAAGCCAGCTAGGCTGTGTCTGAATTTCTGCCTTGCTGAAACTCTGAGATAATAAATGTGTGTTTTTTGAAGCAGCTAAATTTGTAATAATTTTCTACATAGCAAATAAAAATCTTATACAATGTACCAGGTAGTTGGCTAGGTGTTACGAATAAAACTTTGAAGAAAACAATTTCTATTATTATTGTCCTGTTGGATTTATGGCTTAAAGAAAAAAGGGGACATTTTAATGCAGTATGTTTCTATGATGGAAGAAGAAAGAAGTTGTCAGAAGAAGATAGACAGAAGAAGAAGGAAGATAGCTAGAAGAAAGAAGGTAGGCCGGGTGCGGTGGCTCACGTCTGTAATCCCAGCACTTTGGAAGGCCAAGGTGGATGAATCACTTGGGGTCAGGAGTTCGAGACCAGCTTTGCCAACATGGTGAAACGCCGTCTCTACTAAAAATAAAAAAAATTAGCTGGGCATGTTGATGTGTGCCTGTAATCCCAGTTACTCGAGAGGCTGAGGCAGAATTGCCTGAACCCAGGAGGTGGAGGTTGCCTTGATCTGAGATCGTGCCACTACAGCACTACAGCCTGGATGACAGAGAGAGACTTTATATCAAAAAAAAAAAAGTCATCTGTCTTGGAGGAGCGGGGAGACTTCTCTTGAGATAAGTTAGAAAAGGAAAATTTAGTAGATTCAGAAAAGAGACTGAAGGTCAAGTGTAGTAGGATGGGGAAGGAGTATTCCAACCTGGTAAGTAGCAAGTACAAAGGTTCTGGGGTTGGGCAAGAGCACAGTGTTATTCAGTGAATGCCAAATCACTTGCTGGCTAGAGGGAGTGTGATGAGAGATGAGGCTACAACGGGGGAAGTTCATGAAGGGCCTCAAATAGCATGTCATATTTAGGACTTTCCACTGAAGAAGTGGAGAACCAGGGAATCGTTCAAAGCAGAAGGGTGACAACTTTAGAGATGGCATCTTTGCACTCTGCATTTAACGACAGGTAAAGTTAGAGAGACTTGTTCAGGGAGAGAACCACAATCAGGATGACAGATTATGGTAGCTGGGACTAGGACTATGGCAGGTAGGGTGGAATAAAAGTGTTCAGGGTCTCCTACATTTCTTCAACACGGGTATTGCATTGCCTTAGCTTTTGACATGACAGATATGATGGTTTGTAAGGGCACAGCTAGAAATGTAGAAACTCACTCACCTACCAAACCCTTTTTAAAAGTAGGTTATATGACCAGAATGTCTAGGCTGTGGGAACAAAGATTCAATCAAGTGTCTTCCTTATCATCTCCAATGGAGGAAAAAAATCTATGACTTTCTACTGTTTTGCAGTGGTTATTGTTTTTTAGAAGAAAGTGCTGTCAGAAGAGTGGTCACTCACAGCTATTTATTGATCCTTCTGGGGATTGAGAAATGATAAAATGCTCTGACCTTTTTAGCCTTATTGCATTCCTCTGGCATTTTGATAAAAAGCAATTAGTGACTTCTCTTTCTGCAGTAATAGCAGTTCCAAATTCAGAACAAGCTCCCTAATTAGAGGATCATAAGCTAGGATGGAAAAGCAAATGGTCACCTGACAAGCCAGAATAAGATAAATGCTGATGCTTTATGCAGAGGCCACTAGACACTGGCTAAGAAGGGTCATTGAAAGAGAGCTTGAAATTAATCCTGGCCTGCAAAATGGTGTGGATGTCATAATGAATCTATTGTTTGTTAATGATTCTGTAAGAGCTAAGGTGCACAATAATTTGTTTATGGTAACAAAGGAGCTGGAAAACTTATAAGTTGATTGATGAAAAATAATACCATGGATTTGATTATCTTGTCATGGAGAGAGATGTGGTGTGGACACTATCAGCTTTGGTTCCACTGAAGGTACAATACAGATACTTATTCTTATCCCCTAAATAGGATTTAGAGTGATTCTCTATAGCTCTGAATAGGGGAATTGTTGCAGCCTTGTGCTTCTTGTACAGCTATTTTGGTAAATGACAGAGGCAAAGCCTCCAACAAGCTATCTAAAATAAGAGGAGGCTTGACAGCCAAGAAAGGCTTTGATCATGTGATAAACTAGTCAATGGGAAGAAATCTCTGAGGTTAGAGAGCTAGATTCCTATCAATTATGTTGCTCTATAAATCAGGAGAATTGGGGAAAGAGCGAAAGGTTGCCTTTCAGCTTCCTGCCAGATGGAGTTCTAGGAGAAAACTTCAGTTGCATTTCAGAACTCTGTCTGTGTCACAGAGGAAGTCTCAGCTGACGTATGTTAATGTAGATCGAAGTAATATGGAAGTGCTGATATGTTTCCTCAATCTTCCATATAAAACAGTCTGTGTGGTGGGGAGATATTTCTGATATAGACTGAACAAAGTGAATAAAGATACCCAGCTACAAACCTTCTCCTTTTAAAGGCAGTTTAAAACCCATGACCACACTTTCAAACATATTTTATTGAATGCTCCTCACGTTGGTATCATCCTCTGATGAAGGATGACTGTGATAGACCTGAAATTCTAGAAGCATGGTCTCTCTCACAGGGGACTGTCTCCTTAACTAAGTCCCTGCAAAATGAAAAGCTTAGCCAAGGGTAAGTAAAGTGGCCATGTAGGGGATCCAGAAAAAGTGGTGGCACAAAGTCCTCTTTTTCTCACTCTTTCTGGATGGGTGGATTCATCAAGCCCAACCATCAAAGTCTAGGAAATCTCTCAGGGACAATTCATCTTATGGGATTTCCAGAACCCAGATCAATCTAGGTAAATGCTCTATGAGCATTTTCTTTCTTTTTTTTTTTTTCACTTCTTTCCCTCCTTCCTTCCTTCCTTTTTTTTTTTTTTTTTTTTTTTTGACAGAGTTTCGCTCTTGTTGCCCAACTGGAGTGTAATGGCTGAATCTCAGCTTAGTGCAACCTCCGCCTCCCGGATTCAAGCAATTCTCCTGCTTCAGCCTCCCCAGTAGCTGGGATTACTGGTGCCCATCACCATACCCAGCTGATTTTTGCATTTTTAGTAGAGATGGGGTTTCGCCACATTGGCTAGGCTGGTCTCGAACTCCTGACCTCAGGTAATCCATCCACCTTGGCCTCCCAAAGTGCTGGGATTGCAGGCATGAGTCACCACGCCCGACCACATTTTAAATAAGGAATGCTAAACTGCTAGAAAATGATCCCCTGGTTTTTGGAGACGGAGCACATTCCCTGAGACACATGACCATCACTAGATTCACACATATCAGGGAGACTACAAAGGGGTCTGTTCTAAGAAGCAGTAGAAAACATTTAGTCCCTGATCTTTGTGACCTTTTTGAATGTCAAGTTCCCCACCCACCGCATCCTGAGCCTGTGGCAATATGTTTTTTTTTTTTATTAGATCCAAATAGGCATCACATAAAGTTAATGAAGTGGTGGTAAGATTCATATAAAGAAGAGACAGAATCTTCTAAAATGTTTCATCTGCCCCCAACTAACCACAGAATGAAATATTACTTGACATTTCATCTCAGTGAGCATATCATGAAATCCATTCTTAACGGTACTGTATTGGTGTCCTAGAACCATCGGTAATTGGATGTTCTTTGATAAGTAAAAGAAAGTGATTAAAGGTATGAAGCTTTAGATTGGTTAGAAATGCATTGGGTTAGAAACTACAGAAATACGTTTTCATTTTTCTCCCATGATGTGTTGCCCAGATGCAGTCAGTGGCTGGCATTGATTCAGTCAATGTCTGAGAAAAGACACAAGACCAACAGCTTTGTGATTCTCTTGATGTTTCCTTATCTCAGCATAACTGCTTGTATTAATTTGCTAAGGTTGCCATAAGAAAATACCCAGATTATGTGGTTTAAGCAACAGAAGTTTATTTTTTTCATAATTCTGGAGGCTAGAAGTCTAAGATCAAGGTGTCAGCAGGGCTGGTTTATTCTAAGATCTCTCTCCTTGGCTTATAGAAGTCAGTCTTGTTGCAGTGTCATCACATGGCCTTCCCTCTGTGCAAGTCTATGTCCTAATCTCCTCTTTTCATAAAGACACCAGCCATATTTATTAGACTTCACATTAATGGTCTCATTTTATTTTTATTATCTTCTTAAAGACCCTGTCTCTAAAGGCAGTCATATTCTGAAATACTGGGGGGCTAGAACTTCAACAGATGAATTTTAGAGGAGTTATAATTCAGCCCATAACACTGCTGAACCTTGAAAAAACATGATCATGTTCAAGGATGAATGAGAGATCACTTGGTTCTCCCTCGTTAAAAAGCCTCACTCATTCTTTCTAATTTTTTTTTTCTTTTTTGAGATGGATTTTTGCTCTTTTGCCCAGGCTGGCATGCAGTGGCATGATCTTGGCTCACTGCAACCTCTACCCTCTGGGTTCAAGCGATTCTCCTGCCTCAGTCTCCCCAGTAGCTGGGATTACAGGCGCCCACCATCATGCCTGGCTAATTTTTGTATTTTTAGTAGAGACCAGGTTTTGCCATGTTGGCCAGGCTGTTCTTGAACGCCTGACCTCACATAATCCACCCACCTCGGCCTCCCAAAATGCTGGGATTAGAGGTGTGAGCCACCACTCCTGGCCAATCCTCAACTCACCCCAATTCCAAATTCCCTTCGTAGCCTCTGATAACCATCCTTCTATTCTTTGTGTCCATGAGTTCAGTTATTTTGATTTTTAGATCCCTAAAATAAGTGAGAACATGTGGTGTTTGTTTGTCTTTCTGTGCCTGGCTTATTTCACTTAACACGATGATCTCCAGTTCTTGTAACCCAAAGGATAAATGTTTGAGGGGATGGATATCCCATTCTCCATGATGTACTTATTTCACATTGAATGCCTGTATCGAAACATCTCATATACCCTATAAATATATACACCTATTATATACCCACAAGAATTTAAAAAATAATAATTTAAAAAATCAATTTAAAAAAGCCCCACTTGCCAACAGGCTCATTGACCAGAACTGAGACACATGATCTTCCTTAGATACAAATAAAACCAAAAGGGAAGTAAAGAGGTTTGTTGTGATTAGTTTAGGTCAACCACCATCTATTGCCTGGGGTTGGACACCTCATTTACCTGAACAAAATCTCGTTTTGTTAGCAAGCAAGAAGGTGGAAGGATGAATTTTTATGTGTAAATTAGAAAATTTGCTTCAGAGATGAAAAGAAATAGAGACGTGGGAAAGCAGGAAGGTTTCACTTTACAAACCTATTTAATTTAAGCCTGGTTGAGGGTCAGGGGAGCAGGTAGGGCCAAAATTGGACACCACTGTAAAGAGTCACTGTTTTTTTCTGCTATTTTCTTCCCTCTCTATTCTGTCTCCCCTCCCGCCAGGCCTTACAAGGTGCCCCAGGCCAGCAGATTTTTTGCATGGCCTTTGGTCAAAGCTTGCTCTCAGAAGAGCATCTGTTATCAGTGTGGACTCCCTGTGGTATCCATTGTGAATAAATTTAAGTCATAGAAATTCTTTTCTGAAGGAGATTTCCATTTTAAGCTTTACTTTATAATGAAAGGCTTTGCTCACAATTCAAGGGATTTCAGGCACTGGTGCACACATGAGTTAGCTTGAGGGTCAGAACAGCCATTCCAGGGCCCTAGAAATCATACTGATTTGGTGGCTGACTTTACTGATGTTTATCTACCTACTCTGCTTATTGAGAAGGCTGGTGCTGAATATTGGCTCAAACTAGGCAACCCTAGAAGACTGGGTCATTGTATTAATTTTCTGTTGCTGTGTAACAAATTACCACAAATTTAGCGTTTGAAGCAGCACCCATCTATTATTTCACAGTTCTATAGGGGAGAAGTGTGTTGTGAGCTTGCCTGGGTTCTCTGCTCTGGTCTCAGGAGGCTGAAACAAAGATGTCAGGGAGGACATGCTCTTACGTAGAAGCTCTGGGAAAGAGTCTGCTTCCAATTTTACTGGTTGTAGGCGGAATTCTTTTTTTTTGGCTGAAGGACTGAGGTCTCCATTTTCTTGCTGTCTCTTGCCCTGGATTTGCTTCTAGATCCTGGAGACTACTCTCTGGTCCTTGCCACATGTCCCCTCTGTCTTCAAGCCAGTTTGAGTCTCCCTTGTGCTTCAATCTCTGACTCCTATTTCTGCTGCCAGCCAGAGAAAATGCTCTGCTCTTAAAGGAATCTTGTTATTAAATGAGCCTAGATAATTTCCTTAATTTAAGGCCTGTTAATTAACCTGAATGACATCTGAAAAATCCCTTTTGCCATGTAATATAACAAAATCAGAGGGGTAACACCAGGGGGCAGATGTCCCAAGGAGCATCATAGCTTTCTGCTTATCACAGTTATCTCTGGCTGAGGGAATGTTTTTGAAGATTTATCTGCCTTATTTGTTTATGTTTTGAAGTTGGACAGGCATGAAAGCAGAGGAGGTAAAACAGCACCATACACAGATTTGATCAAGTTAGTGGGTTAGTTGAGAGATGAACTTTTGAGGTAGTCAGGGCATTTGGAAAGGACGGAGGGGAGTTAGAAGAAAATTTTAAGCTCTGTGAAAATAGGAATGAAACAACGTTTGTTTTTAGATTCCCAATGTGTAATCTAGTAAAATTATAGAGTAAGCACTCATGGGGTATTTTTTAAATAAAAGAATGATTAGACTGTCTGTTAGTCAGCTTTGGTTAACAATCATCCTCCTTCCATCTTATTCACTTATAATAGCAAACATTTTATTTCTAATTATCTTGATCTTGGTATTTGTTTTCTCCTGATGACTCTTGGTAAAAGAGATCAAGTTGATATACTCAATTATGTTAAAGCCTCTTAGAGATGGACAGTCACCTGGTCAATCCTATATCAAATGGATGGGGAAGTTTGGTCCACCATCTGGGAGGCACTGCAACCTGACATGACAAAGGATAAGGCTGTGTAATCTGAATACAGGGAAAGGGCAGCGTAGTTGGGAACAATGATGCAATCCATCAGAGACTATCTTTCCAGAATTTATTGCCTAATAATTGTTCCTGCTCCTATATTAGCAGACTCTCTGAGGTTTGGCACTAGAGGGAGAATATTTAGGAGACGAACGGTAGCTGATTGAAGTTTTTCACTCTATCATTCTGAGCTTCCTCTTCTTCTGCATTCTGTTACACTCCTTCGTGGACAAGCATAGAAGCACGGTAGGCATTAAGCAGGCTTCACTGAGGGCATTTGAATGACACATTTGCCCAACCTCACTGCGACTCCTGGAGGTCCTTCATCCTAGGATTTTGTTTTAAAAAATATTCATTTTCTTTATTTTCCAGAAACCTCCGGACACTATTACCTCGTCAACAAATTTTACATCCAAGATTTGTCACTAATTTCTCACCATTTAAATGTATTTCAAACCTAACCTGACTGGAATAATGATATTAATTTTACCTCAAAGATTATAAGTATTGTTTTGTAAAGACAATGTACATGTGACCCAATTTATCTTTCTTTAAAGAAGCGTATATCTTTCTTCTTCTTGCATTTAGGCAACATTAGTCCTAAATTATAGCAACATATAGTGAAAAAATATGGTTCTCTTTTAATGCATGTTCATTCCTCAAACTTAGAGGAAAAGTTGTTGTGGAAATAACATTTTAGTCAATAGATTACTAACATATTATATGCCTTGTACCTTGGGTAATGTGATGTATGGAGAATTACTTAGCTATTAGTCTTCAGTGGGAGCCAAATGAATAATGAGAATTGGCCATTCATCTTATTTTCAAGGATTTTCAACACTATCTGTGTCCTTGGGGCCACTTTTGCAAATGTTACATTTTACTGTTTCATGATCCAAAGTGACAAGAGGCTTTTTTTTTAAGTCTAAGATTTAAAACAGGATTGAGGCTTGTCTGAACTATGCAACCATAAAGACAGGCAGGAAGAAACATAACCATTTGTTTGTGTTTCTTTTCAAACATGACAGCTAGAAAAATGGCTGCCATTTCCATCCACGTGAAGTTTTCAAAGCACCTTGGACAGCTGCCGCCACTCTGTTGCCCGAGAAAAGGCTGTGTGCCAGCCTCATGCCTCACTTTTACCCTTGGTCCTCGATCTTGGTGAACCACTTGCTGCCGTAAAAAGAAAAGTAAAAACTCTCACCATTGTCCTATTTTTTTGGTGTGCACCAATAGGTTTTTCTGTTAGCTGGTAATACTGAAAGCCTCTTCAAATCCTTGTTAAATAAATGAACAAAAACTTAATGGGGTAGATGGGGGAACATTCATATGGATGAATATCAGCACGGTCATTAAGCTTGTGGCTCTTCTGGTTGTCAGTCTTGCCCTGATGGTGTCACAGTTACCTCCAGAATGAAAGAAAAATGGTACCTTGATGGCTCCTGTCCTAAGTTTTCCTGCCTGTAGGGCTCAGAAATGTGACTTTTTCTAGTCTTAAAAAGATTCAACTGAAAGGTAAAGGGGAACTGAATTGTATAGGGACATTGTGTAGCAGAAACTGGCTACTGGTTTACTAAACCTTACTATAATTCTTTCTAAGGGCATGAATCACATTTTCCAGCCTTCCTTATAATTAGGCATAGATCCTTAGTTCCAAAATATGGAAGATTAACAGCAATGAAATGTGTCACTCTCCAGGAGTATGCCATCAAGCTCTTCTATTAGTGATCCTCCACTAGTTGGATGAAGAAAACCATGATGATCTTGGGAACAATGTGGTAAGGAAGGCAGAGGTGCAGAATGGAGGGAGGCTGAGTACCTGAATTACCACTTGAACAAGTATCCTCTGCTGATCAAGACTCCTATTTTGGGCTTTGAAAGAATAGACTTATATTACCTTTGAACCATTATGTTTTTTTGGCTTTGTACGTTATTGCATGTATTATTTCTTTAACACATATATAATTGTATTGTGTCCTAAAATTGTAGGGTTAAAAGATGATCTGTTAGGTGAAGTCCTGGAAAATGTAAGAATTGATATCCTTGGCAAATGTTGAGATTCAGGAGTTATTTCATATATGCAATCCTTATGATGACGAGAATGAGACATGAAGAAAGATGAGGGATTGTTATTAGGTGTTTCGGTACCTAAATCTGAACTCTAACCAGAGGCCATGAGGGATTCTTCATTGCTGCCCTCTGGAGGTTTAGAGATTTTTAATCACTGGAGGCACTTAATCAATCCTCAAGATGACCGCAAACCTGACCAACCTTGCTTTTGGTGTTATTTTGCTGAGGTGTGCACAGATTCCTGACCCACAGAGACTGTGAGAATGGTCCCTTGATGGCTCCTGTCCTAACTTTTCCTGCCTGTAGGGTTCAGAAATGTGACTTTTTCTGTTTTATATTGTTATTTTAAACCACTAATTTTGGGATAATTTGTTACAAAGCAATAGAAAACTGCATCAGACTGAATCTACTAAAGCTGACTGTATATACCCTATCACCCAAACATTCCACATATAACCATCAGAAGTGCATGCATATATGTTCACAAAAGACGTGTGCAAGAATGTTCACAGCAGCACCATTCATAATAGCCCATACTGGAAGATTTCCCACTGTTCACTACATTAAATGTTTACCAAATGTATTGGATAAGTAAATTTTGGTATGTCACAAAATTTTAAAAAATGTGTAATATTGAGAATGGTCATTATGCAAATAAGCATGACAATATAGATATATTTTGCAGAGGAGCTTGGTACAAGAGAACCTACTCTCATTTAATTTATATAAATATTTTTTTTCTAATCAGTATAATGTCAATATAATGGTTGCCTTCTGGGGAAATGAAGACTGGTAGGGGCTCTAGGGGGATTTGCATTATAGTTAAATTCTGTTTCTTGAAATGAATGCTATTCATGAGTTTACTCTCTGAAAATTAATCAAGCGATACACTTTGATATATTTACATTTCTGCATATATATTATGTATTGATTAAAAGCTTTGTAAATGTTTAAAAATATGCATGACTCTGATAAAAATGTATGTTCATGATATTGTTGTGCAAATACATAAAGCTGTGTGTAATTTTTTATGTTAGTGTTGTGTATTGTTTCAGAAGCTTGGAGACACCTACATGTTCACTAAAGTGATTGTTTAAATAAATTCCAGGGCATTCATCAAATGGCTTGCTACAAAGCTATTAGGAAAAATATGGAGATTTATCCTATTGATACAGAAAGATGCTCACAATATATTTCTCAGTGAGAATAGATGATTGAACATACGTGCAAGGCACTAGCAGAACCACAGAGGGTTAGGCCAGTAGAAAGATAATTACTAAACTATTAATAATGATTTTCTTGGGTGGTAAGTTCATGGCTGACTTTTCTCCTGTTTGTTTATCTGTATTTTTTAACATATCAGTGGGTTTGATTTGATTCTGTTTTCGTATTAATTTGATTTTAATATCTTAGAAAGTGGAAGTCATGCTTTTTATTCAACAACTTATTCCATACGTACTTAATTTATTTAACATAGACCTTGTACAAAGTCAGAACTCAATAAATATTCACTCACTCCCTGACTGAATAAAAAAAGAGATAATCTGTCATTTTTACCCATATATTTTAGCATATGACTTAGAAAAGGGCATTTCTGTCTTCTAACAAGTTGTGTAAATAAAGACAACAGAGAATGGCGTGCATTTATGTGTGTGTTTTGCAAGGGAGAGTTATATATTAGAGCCTTATTTAAAAGCATTGTGGACATTAATTTAAATGAGAGAGATACAATTGAGAAGAGACAAGAAAGGTAATGTCTCTAGTTGGTTAATAGTCTGTGGACATTTTTTTTGCCTACTGAACATTGTGTTAGTTTGGTTAGACATTTTATCTGACATGTAAGCTCCTTGTCTGATTTTGTGAAGGTCACATAAATCCTGGCTCATCCACAGTGAGGAAACAACCTGCCAGGGCCTTCACAGCTCAGGCAGGTGGCTGGTGACAGGATGCCTAGTGATCTGAATCCTAGGGTTGCAATTGGTTGCTGATTCTGCATGCAAGGCTTGAGCTCTGGATTTTGTATTTCCTGTCTGGGAATGACTTTACAAAAATAAGGAACAATGAAAAAAGCCATATATTTTTCAGTAGTTCTTTCTATTTCTACCTTCTTTTTTTCTTTTTGCCTTTCATATGTGTGTACATGTATATGGTAGTATATCCTAGACTACACATCAGTAATTCTTATTTATTTTGTTGCAAAACAACATTGACAACTATCCATCTAAATGTAGTAACAGCAACTCAGTTGTCTCAGTGGAAACAAAATGTTCACAAATGCCAAAATGTAAATGGAGATGATGGAGGATTATGAGAAAGAAGAAAATAGTAAGAATTACTTCTTTTTTTTTTTTTTTTTTTTTTTTTTGAGGCTGAATCTCACTCTTCTACCCAGGCTGGAGTGCAGTGGTGCAGTCTTGAGTCACTGCAACCTCCACCTCCCAGGTTCAAGTGATTCTCCTGCCTCAGCCTCCTAGGAGCTGGGATTACAGGCACCCGCTACCACATCCAGCTATTTTTGTATTTTTAGTAAAGATGGGGTTTCACCATGTTGGCCAGGCTGGTCTCGAACTCCTGACCTCAAGTGATCTGCCCACCTCGGCCTTCCAAAGTACTAGAATTACAGGTGTGAGCCACTGCAACAGGACAATAATTAATTTTTTTCTAGATTTTAGAACGAGTACTCTGTATTACAAAACTAGCAATTATTTTGATATTTTGCTCAAATTAATTTATGTAATACATATGCAATTAATAGTAGTTTGGGCATAGGAGCTAGATGGATTTGATTACAAAATATAGATATGAAAAGACAGGAAATAAATAATTACCATCTAGATTATAGATTACTTTTTCATTTCCTATCCTTTCCTAGTCTTTTGGACATTGATATTGTTTGGCTATATCCCCACCCAAATCTCGTCTTTAATTTTAGTTGCCATAATCCCCACATGTTGTGGGAGGAACTCAGTGGGGAGGTAAATGAATCATGGGAGCAGTTACCCCCAGGCTGCTGTTCTCATGATAGTGAGTGATTTCTCATGAGATCTGATGGTTTTATAAGAGGCTTTTTATCCTTTATCTTGGTTCTTATCCTTCCTGCCACCATGTGAAGAAGGATATGTTTGCTTTCCTTTCTGCCATGATTGTAAGTTTCCTGAGCCCTACATCCTCCCAGGCATGTGGAACTGTGAGTCAATTAAAACTATTTTCTTTATAAATTACTGAGTTTTGGGTATGTCTTTATTAGAAGTGTGAGAACAAACTAATACATTAAATTGGTACCGGCAGAGTGGCGTGCTGCTGTAAGGATACCGGAAAATGTGGAAGCAACTTTGGAACTGGGTAACAGGCAGAAGTTGGAATAGTTTGGAGGGCTCAGAAGAGGATAGAGAAATATGGGAAAGTTTGGAACTTCCTAGAGACTTGGAGGGCTCAGAAGACAGGAAGATGTGGGAAAGTTTGGAATTGCCTAGAGACTTGCTGAATGGCTTTGACCAAAATGCTGAGAGTGATGTGGACAATAAAGTCGAGGTTGACATGATCTCAGGTGGAGATTAGGAACTTATTGGGAACTGGGGCAAAGGTGACTCTTGGTATGGTTTAGAAAAGAGACTGGCAGCATTTTGTCCCTGCCCTAGAGATTTGTGGAACTTTGGACTTAGTAGAGATAATTTAGGGCATCTGGCAGAAGAAATTTCTAAGCAGCAAAGTGTTCAAGAGGTGACCTGGGTACTGTTAAAAATGTTCAGCTTTATGTATTCACAAGTATATCATTTGGAATTGAAACTTATCTTTAAAAGGGAATCAGAGCATAAAAGTTCACAAAAATTACAGCCTGATGATGCAATAGAAAAGAAAAATCCATTTTCTGAGGAGAAATTGAAGCTGACTACAGAAATTTGCATAAGTAAGGAGGAGCCAAATGTTAATAGCCAAGACAAAGGGAAAAATGTTCCAGGACATGTCAGAGGTCTTCACAGCAGCCCTTTCCATCACAAGCCAGGAAGTCTAGGAGGAAAAAGTGGTTTCCTGGGCTGGGCCCAGCACGTTGCTTCTTTGTGCATTCTTGGGACTTGGGGCCCTGCATCCTGGCTGTGGCTAAAAGGAACCAACGTAGAGCTTGGGTCATTGCTTCAGAGGGTGCAAGCCCCAAGCCTTGGTGGCTTACAAGGGTGTTGGGCCTGTAAGTGCACAGAAATCAAGAATTGAGGTTTGGGAATCTCTGCCCAGATTTCAGAGGATGCATGGAACTGCCTGGATGTCCAGGCAAAAATTTGCTGCAGGGGTGGAGCCCTCATGGAGACCTCTGTTAGGGCAGTGTGGAAGGGAAATGAGGGGTGGGAGCCTCCACACAGAGTCTCCACTGGAGCACTGCCTAATGGAGCTGTGAGAAGAGGGCCACCATCTTCCAGACCCCGGAATGGTAGATCCACTGACAGCTTGCACCGAGCACCTGGAAAAGCCACAGACACTCAATGCTAGCCCATGAAAGCAGCCAGGAGGGCAGCTGTACCCTGCAAAGCCACGGGGTGGAGCTGCCCAAGGCCATGGGAGCCCACCTTTTGCATCAGCATGACCTGGATTTGGAGCATGGAGTTAAAAAAATACTATTTTGGAACTTTGAGATTTAATGACTGTCCTATTGGATTTCGGACTTGCATGGGGCCTGCAGCCCCTTCATTTTGGCCAATTTCTCCCATTTGGAAGAGGTCTATTTACCCAATGCCTGTACCCCCATTATATCTAAGAAGTAACTAACTTGCTTTTGATTTTACAGGCTAATAGACAAAAGGGACTTGCCTTGTCTCAGATGAGACTTTGGACTTGAACTTTTGAGTTAATGCTGAAATGAGTTAAGACGTTGGGGGACTGTTGGAAGAGTGTGGTGGTGTTTTGAAATGTGGGGACATGAGATTTGGGAGAGACCAGGGGTGGAATGATGCGGTTTGGCTGTGTCCTCACCCAAATTTCATCTTGAATTGTAGTTTCCATAATCCCCACATATTGTGGGGGGGACCCGGTGGGAGGTAATTGAATCATGGGGGTAGTTACCCCCATGCTGCTGTTCTCAGGAGATCTGATGGTTTTCTAAGGGTCTTTTTCTCGGCACTTATCCTTCCTGCCACCATGTAAAGAAGGATGTGTTTGCTTCCTCTTCCACCATGATTGAAAGTTTTCTGAGGCCTGCCCAGCCATGCAGACCTGTGAGTCAATTAAATCTCTTTTCTTTACAAGTTACTCATTCTCGGATATGTCTTTATTAGCAGTGTGAGAACAGACTGATACAGACATTTATCACATAACTACAGGGATATAGTCAAAATAAAAAAAATGAAGCTGAGTTGGGATTCATTACTGGCACCTATTTTAGAAAGTTAAGTGAAGGATATTGCAAAGCAGTTGATTTAATTGGGGAATTATCCATAGATCTTTAATTTAGGTTTTTTTTTTCTTTTAACTTTCTGCTATTCATAGTCCCATTTACCATAGAAGTTGTTTGAATCATTGTATGAAAAAGCTGACAGTATTTCGACAAATTACTTACCATTTTTTATTTCAAGTGATACAGCTTAGAGCAGAAAAGAAAAAGTGAGGTGTGAATTTGTCCTAATGAAAAAGAGTCTTAGAAAAGAAAGTGAAAAGGCCAGCATTGTGACTCACGCCTGTAATTCCAGCAATTTGGGAGGCCAAGGTGGGAGGATCACTTGAGGCCAGTCTGGCAATTTGAGGCTGCAGTGAGCCATGATCACGCCACTGCACTGATGGAGGTACATTTGTTGAATGCAATAGTGGCTAGGTTTGGCAGTGCTCACTGCAAGGTTAGTTGAGAGGCACAGCTAGGCACTAATACTAACTAATGCCAGGGTGGAGCATAGTCAAATGAGCACACTTGCAGGGTTCTGAGGTATATGCCATTGGTTATTCTAATAGGCTATTAAACCTCTAATTATGATTCTGAAAACAACCAACCCACAAGATAAAAAAGCACTATATCTCACTGGGGAGTGGAGCTTTGATACAAAAATCCAGGTACACAGATAGTTAATTGACAGGTCTTAGATTACCAATTACAAACTTATGGTTTAGGAAAAGGACTGAAGTAGCCGTGGTGGTCCTGGTGTTATCTAATGTCCCTTGACAGATGAAAGATAAGGTTTTGGATTACAAGTGGTTAAAATTTTACCCCCTTTTCTCTTTTCATTTTATGCCCTTTCTTGGACAGAAGATATTCTTTATCACTGGGTCATCTTTCTGGACTTTTCCTAAGTTCTGCAGAATCTTTGTCCTGAAAAATAGGGAAATAGAAAGAAAGAGGTTAAATTGATCTACATAATAAAAAGCTGAGATGGGAGACAGAGAAAGAGGAGAAGTAGGTACCTTTGCAGCCTGAGTCTGAGAGAGAGGGTAGAATAGTAGTTTAAAGAATGTTGGAATGAAATAAATAATTTGGGGCATTGTCATGCCTGTAGGAGATACTGAAAATGAAAGGTAGAAGAATGTTTCAGGTGTTTGGAGATTAAAAGAGTATTTAGATGGGTTTGAACCTGCAGACTAGGAGATTGTCAGGGTCAAAATGTATAGAAATTAAAGAAGAGGGGAGTTAAATGAATAGTAAGTAGTGAAACAGATTATACCATCTGAATATGTGAAACTTTTGGAATTAGCTTAAACCAAGCAAACAAACATGGAATACTCAAAACAGAGAAAGGGTTAGGGTTAGGGTTAGAAAGAAAAGTAAAAATTAAACAAGGCAAGAAACATGCAAGTGTAGTTTTGAATTGTATATCTGTGCTTATCATCATGTAAAATTAGGATACTATGTTTAATTTCTGGGACCATCAATTTTCTCATTAGTTAAGTGGAATAATTGCAATAGCATATGAAAACAAGCACACCAGCACAGTGCCTGAAATATATCTGTTAAAATAAAAAGAAGAAAAAGAAAAAGCTGGAAGCCTGTCCATATGTAAGGATTTTGAGGTAATCCATCAAATATTCTTTCATAGGCTTGTAAACCTTTATTCTGGTTTGCCCAGAAGGAAAATGTCTTTTATAATCTGTACCTAATAAGTAATCATTAAGCACCCTAAGAGGTTTTAACATTGAGACATTTCTGAAATGATGTAGAGTAATTGTTTGCTAAAAAAAATAAAATAAAATAGTGATCTTCACTGCACTGCAGCACCCCTTTAAGTAAGCCACTGGCTTACTAAACCACCGAAAGAACAAGGTTTAGTGACTGCAGTTTGGCAACTACAAGACCAAATGCCTGATTCTATAAACAAATATTTTTCGCCGTATTTCTAGTTCATGTACCTATTTTACCTATATGTTCTATTCTAAATTAATTCGTGACTTTAAGTTTTAGAACTCTTAATTTCAGGAATCGTAGAAAAGATGATGTTGGACCATATTTTAGCAGATGAGAAAGGAATGGTAAGAACCCATTGGCAGAACTAACTTGCAGCTTGAATGTAAACTCCATAAGGTCAGAGTTTTTTTTTTTTTTTTTTTCTTGCTTTTCTCTCCTGATCTATTTTCAGGACCTCAAACAAGGCTTAGCCACAAATGGGTACTTGATAAATATTTGTTAAGAGAATTAATGAATAAATGGATTAATCATTAAATTACCATAGCTATTAACCAACTAGGTTGTCCAGTAGTTAATCCATATTTTTTTTAAATTTAGCTCTTTATAGAGCAGCATTATCATATAGAAGTACAATTTGAGCCATATATATAATTTTAAATTTTCTAGTAACAGTATTTTAAAAAGTAAAACTAGTAAGATGATTTTAATAATATATTTAATTTATATCAATATATCACAAATATTATAATTTCAACAAGTAATCGGTATAATATTTAGTTATGAGACATTTTACATTATTTTACAATATCACCTTTTAAATCCCTGTGTATTTTACATTTCCAATACATTCAGATGAACTGCATTTTAAGTACTCAGAATGTTATCAGCACATTCAACAGTAAACTTATAAAGCAGTCAAAATCTGTTTTGAAAGAGGTAAAATTAAAATAATATCTTAGATTTAAAATAAGACAAGTAATCTATAGGAAAAAGCCTTGAATTTGAGTTAGATAGAGCTAGTTTAGAATCCCATTTGGTAGTGTGACTTCGAGGAAGAGAATCTCAATAAGTCTGTTTTCTCACATGTAAAATAGAAGTAATCATCAGACCTTGCTGAACTGTTATCTTAGAAATAGTGTATGTGAAAGCCCTCCTACAGGATCCGACAGGTAGTAGGTGCTCAATAAAGATTATGAATGGTTGTCATTATTGTATTATAATTATTTAGTATATACTCTGTGCTTTTCGCTGTTTATGATTTTAAAAATGAGCTTTTATTTCCATTTTAAAGGCAAACAAGGAAGGCCCGAACCCCATTATTGGATTATATATCTGATATTAGCACCTGAATTCTTTTTTAGTTACTTCTAAGCATATATCACAGGAAAAAACTTAGGTATGTCTCAAAAGGTCCTCATTTTCCCAGTGCATCATTGACATGGGGCAGTCTCCACTACTGGGGAGCCCATGAGTTTTCTACTCTGATGGGACAATTCTCAGCTGGCATTTTGCCTCTATGACTGCTCTGATACCCTCATTTCAGAGAAAGAATTTTGGATTTAGTATTACAAAGACAGTACAAATATCCTACCTATATGAGAAAAAAATAGACGTTTTTGAACATATAGCCATCTAGAAATGTATCACCCACTAGTCATATTGAAAATTAAATTACTTATAAAGGTACTGTAGGAAACAGAAGACTGAGTGATAGTGAAAAAATAAGATACAAGAAATAATAAACAATGAGCTATGAAATTAAGTTCAATTGTTAGGCAGGGATTTAACAATAGAGATATTATTAAATAATAATTTAAAGCTAGAAAATTGAGAAATTAAAAGAAAATTGAGAAGAGGATAAAATAATTAAATGTCTGTTAATCTTGTTACAAAT
Source organism: Homo sapiens (assembly GCF_000001405.40). Classification (NCBI taxonomy): domain Eukaryota; kingdom Metazoa; phylum Chordata; class Mammalia; order Primates; family Hominidae; genus Homo; species Homo sapiens. The sequence continues at coordinate 52,945,300 of NC_000002.12, read as the reverse complement.
GAAAAAGGCTGTATGTTCACATTATTTTTTAATATTAATATGAATCTATATTTTCACGTTTGCTATAAATTTGAGTATAATCATTAGTAGAATATAAATAAAATTGAAATACCTAATGTAGGACAAGATAAAAAGCAAATAATATACGATGAACATAAGTAATAGTAAAGAAAAAAGAAACAAAATGTGCCCTGCATATGGCTAGCCAGTTATCCCAGCACCATTTATTGAATGGGGAATCCTTCCCCCCTTGCTCGTTTTTGTCAGATTTGTTGAAGGTCAGATAATTGTAGGTGTGTGGTCTTATTTCTGGGTTCTCTATTCTGTTCCATTGGTCTATATGTCTGTTTTAAGATGGATTAATGACAAATGTAAAACCCCAACCTATACAAATCCTGGAAGACAACCTAGGCAATACCATTAAGGATATAGACACAGGCAAAGATTTCATGATGAAGATGCCAAAAGCAATTGCAGCAATAGCAAAAATTGGCAAATGGGATCTAATTAAACTAAAAAGCTTCTGCACAACAGAAGAAACTGTCAACAGAGTAAATAGACAACCTACAGAATGGGAGAAAAATTTTGCAAACTATACATCTGACAAAGGTCTACTATCCAGCATCTATAAGGAACTGAAACAAATTTACAAGAAAAACAAACAACCTCATTAAAAAGTGGGCAAAGACATGAACAGACACTTCTCAAAAGAAGACATATTTATGGCCAGCAATCATGAAAAAAAGCTCAAATTCACCAATAATTAGAGAAATGCAAATCAAAACCACAGTGAGATACCATCTAACACCAGTCAGAATGGCTGTTATTAAAAAGTCAAAAAATAACAGATGCTGGTGAGGTAGTGGAGACAAAGGGATGCTTTTACACTGTTGGTGGGAGTGTAAATTAGTTCAGCCACTGTGGAAGACAGTGTGGTAATTCCTCAAAGACCTAAAGACAGAAATTCCATTTGACCCAGAAATCCCACTAACAGATATATACCCAAAGGAATATAAATTTTTCAATTATAAAGACACATGCACACGTATGTTCATTGCAGCAGTATTCACAATAGAAAAGACATGGAATCAACCTAAATGCCCATCAATAATAGACTGGACAAAGAAAATGTGTTACATATACACATGAAATACTATGCAGCCATAAAAACTAATGAGATCATGTCCTTTGCAGGGACATAGATGGAGCTGGAGGCCATTATCCGTAGCAAACTAACACAGGAACAGAAAACCAAATACCACATGTTCTCACTTATAACTGGGAGCTAAATGATGAGAACACATGGACACATAGAGGGGAACAACACACCCTGGGGACTTTTGGAAGGCAGAGAGTTGGAGGAGGGAGAGGATCAGGAAAAACAATTAATGAATACTAGACTTAATACCTGAGTGATGAAATAATTTGTGTATCAACCCCCATGACACAAGTTTGCCTATGTAACAAACCTGCACTTATACCCCTGAACTTAAATGTTAAAACAACCTCCCCCAAAACAAACAAACAAAAAACTGCAAACAACAGCAACAACAACAGCAATAAAAGAAACAAAATATGAAGACATTGAAAAATAAGATGGCTGTGCTAGAATCTAACCAAAATCTAGGCCTATCTTTTTGTGCTATTAGCTGTAGTCATGTGACTTTTAGCCATGAGGGCATAAGAAATAGTGGTATGTGTCATTTCCAGGACTGATCTCTGAAGTTCCCTCATGGCAACTCCTGGATACTTTTTGTTTCCTCAGACTGGGTGAAGATGACTATCATGAACTTGGACTTGATTCACTGAAGGTGGCCTCTATTCGTGTGAGTCCTTCAAATGATTGTATGGAGCAGCCTTCTGCTCCTTGCTACTCTGTACCACTCTAGACTATTACATAATGTCTTAGTTCATTTGTACTGCTATAACAAAATACCACAATTAGTTAATTTATAAATGCTAGAAACTTATTTTCTCACAGTTATGGAAGCTGGTAAGTCCAAGATCAAGGCACTGACCCTGGTGTCTGGGGAGGTCCGTTCTCTGCTCTTAAGATGGTGTCTTGTTGCTGCATCCTCCAGAAGGGAGGAATGCTCTATCCCCACATGGTGGAAGATGGAAGAGCAGAAAGGGGAAAACTCTCAAAAGGCTCTTTTATAAGGGATGAATCCTTTTTTAAGCGAAGAGCCCTCGTCACTTAATCACTTGCCCAAACATAAGTATTCCCAACTTGCCCACTGTCACTACAGTGAGGATTAAGTTTCAACATGAATTTTGGAGGGGACACCCATGCAAACCATTAGCACAAGATGCATAAACTTCTAGTATATTTACATCATCATATGTCTTTCGTCTCTATTTTATATACAGCTATGTTTAATTCACTAATATGGCTGAAATAAAACCAATGTAATAGTGATGGCAATAAATATGAATAGATTACATTCTTGAAATGAGCCAGATTTGGGAAAATATACTGTTGCTTAATGTGATTAAGTCAGGGGATCAGATCACATCTTGAAGGTATATTTATATGTGAGAGAGGCAAGTGGGTTTTCTCTGAAGGACATGTACACCTCCATGATTAATTATCTTGTAGCAGGAAAAAATATAGGGCTAGACTCATGCAGGCGAGAGCTTTTCCCTTTTTCTTCTTTTTTCTTTCCTTTTGAATTGGCATTGGATTGTATTTCCTGTGTATATCATCCATGCTTCTTAACTGCTTTCAAAGCAATCATGTCTTTGTGTTTTTGAATAGAATTTTGAAAATATCTCTAGATTTCTAGTGCTGTCCTTTTGTCTTCAGCTGAGTCAATCTTACCACTTATCCTTTGGATTCATTATTATTCTCTTTTATGGAATACCATTTTTAATCTCCAATAACTTTACTTTTCTTTCATAACAGCCTGCTCTTGTTTTACATATGTTCCTGAGGACACTAATTGTAATTATTTTAAAATGTATGTGTTTTCCTACCTGTATTCTCTTTTTTGAAAGTTAGTTTTGGTCTTGTTTTCATTCCAGTGTCTTTCTTTTATGCTGTTGTCTTAAGCGTTTCATGGAAAATCTTAGTCATCTGTTTGTAGTGCAAGGTTCTTGTAAGAGTGGTATATTTTTCTGGAATATGTTTTTATTCATCACCAGTGAATATTCTCTGCTTCCCTAGCAGAAAATTCAAATTCTGATAGAATTTTGAGCTTATGTGAAAGTACAGGATGGGAACATGTGATCAGCCTGTCTTTCTCTTTGAGTATGGGATAATAATTAGCTTTCTCAATTTGAGACACCCCTTAGCTCCAGGGGATACTTATGTTGGGAATGTCCAATAGCAGATTCACTATTAGTCCCCAAACAATTCTTGTGAGTTTAGCTGGATGGAGAACATCAGAGCCTGCAGCACTGAAAGTAGGAAATTGTTGCACCTGTTCTACCGATTGTTAATCAATTATCTCACTGACCATCCAGTTCTGGCTTCCATCCTCTGCTGCATCTGATTGGGATAATTCCAGGTTTCTGTTTTTAGTGGTCCTGTCTTTTATTATTTTTGTAGCATTTGCCCTTTCCTTTTATCTTTTTCTCCAGCTTCATTGAAGTATGATTGACAAATAAAAATTGTATACATTTAAGTTGTACAATGTGATTATTAGATATACATAATGTAAATATACATTGTGAAGTGTTCATCGCAAGCTAGTTATCATATCCATCATCTCACATAGTTACCCTTTGTGTGTGATGAGAACAGTCAAGGGCTATTCTCTTAGCAAATGCCAAGTATACAATATATTATTAACTATAGTCATTAAGCCTCCAGAATTTACTGGTCTTACAACTGAAAGTCTGTATCCTTTGACCAACAACTTCCCATTTCCCCCACTCATGTAGCCCTGATAACCACCATTCTACTCTATTTTTACAAGTTCACCTTTTTTAGATTCCACATATAAGTGCGGGCATACCTTGGAGATATTGTGGGTTCACTTCCAGACCACTGCAACAAAGCAAATATCACAATAAAGTGAGTTACACAAGTGTTTTAGTTTTCCCTTGCATGTAGAAGCTATATTTACACTATATTTTAGTTTATTAAGTTTGCAATAGCATTATGTCTAAAAAATGTGCATACCTTAATTTAAAAAACTTTATTGCTACAAAACGCTAATGAGCACCAGTGCCTTCAGTGAGTCATAATCTTTTTGCTGGTGGAGGGTGTTGCTTCAGTGTTGATGGCTGCTGATTGATCAGGGTGGTAGTTGCTGAGCTTTGGGGTGGCTGTGGTAAAATAAGGCAACTTAAAGTTTATTACCTCAATTGACTATTCCTTTTAAGAAATACTTATCTGTAGCCTGTAAAACTGTTTGATACCATTTCAAACAGTAGAACCTCTTTCAAAAATGGAGTCAATCCTCTCAAACTGCTGATTACCAATTAATTTTATGTAATATTCTAAGCCCATTATTGTCAACAATTTTCACAGCATCTTCTCCACGAGTAGTTTCCATCTCAAGAAACCACTTTCTTTTCTCATCCATAAGAAGTAACTCATCATCCATTAAAGTTTTATCATGAGATTGCATCAATTCTGTCATATCTTCAGTCTCTACTTCTAATTTAGGTCTAATTATAATTCTACTGCAGATGTGGTAGAAACAGAATGATAATGGGTTATTAACTAACTCATTAATAAGGGTTAGAATAACTTCTTCCAAACTCCTGTTAATGTTGCTATTTTGACCTCCCATGAATCACAAATGTTTTTAATGTAATTTAGCGTGGTGATTCCTTTTCAGAAGGTTTTCAATTTCCTCTCGCAGATCCATCAGAGGAATCACTACCTATGGCAGCTATAACCTTAATAAATGTTTTTCTGAAATAACACAACTTGAAAGTCAACATTACTCCTTGATCCATGAGCTACAGCAGAATGGATATTGAGTTAACACATATGAAAATAACATTAATCTTCATCAGAGCTATGGGGCGACTAGGTGCAATGTCAATGAGCAGTAATGTTCTGAGCAATATGCCTCAGCAGTGGGCTTAAAATATTCAGTAAACCATGCTATATACAAATGTTCTGTCATCCAGACTTTGTTGTTCCTTTTATAGAGCACATGCAGAGTAGATTTAGCATCATCCTTAAGGGCCCTGGAATTTTCAGAATGGTCAGTGTGCATTGGCTTCCATTTAAAGTCACCAGCTGCATCAGCCCCCAGCATGGCCTGACCTTTGAAGATTTGAAGCCAGGCATTGACTGCTCTTCTCTAGCTGAGTCCTAGATGGTATCTTCTTCCAATAGAAGGCTGTTTTATCTACATTGAAAATATGTTGTTTCTTTCATCAGTGATCTTAGGTAGATATTTCAGATAACTTGCTGCAGCTTCAACATTAGTACTTGCTGCTTCACCTTGCACTTTTATGTTGTAGAGATAGCTATTTTCCATAAATCTCATGAACCAACCTCTGCTAGCTTGAAACTTTTCTTCCACTGCTTCCTCACCTCTCTCAGGCTTCATAGAATTGAAGAGAGTTAGGGCCTTGCTCTCAATTAGGCTTTGGCTTAATACAGTGTTATGAATGGTTTGGTTTTCTATCCAGACCATTAAAACTTTCTCCAATATTATCAATAAGGTTGTTTTATATTCGTATTACTTATATGTTCACTGGAGTTTCTGTTAATTTCCTTTGAAAAATTTTTTTTTTTTTTACATTCACCACTTGGATGATTGTTACTCAGAAGAGGCCTAGCTTTTGGCCTATCTCAGCTTTTGACATGCCTTTCTCACTAAGCTTAATCATTTCTAGTTTTCTATTTAAAGGAAGGAACATACAACTCTTCCTTTAACTTGAATCACTCAGAGACCATTGTACGGCTATTAATTGGCCTAATTTCAATATTATTATGACTCAGGGAGGGAGGCCCAAGAACAGAGGGAGAGATGGAGGAACTGTTGGTCTGTGGAGAAGTCAGAACACACACAAGATGTATCAGCTACGTGCAGTGTGTTATATGGGCACTGTTAGTAGCTTCTCCAAAGAGTTACAATAGTAAAACCAAAGATCAGTGATCACAATCACTGTAACAGATATTATAATAATAATGAAAAAGTTTGACATATTGTGAGAATTACCAAAATGTGACACAGAGACGTGAAGTGAGCACATGCTGTTGGAAAATGGCACCCATAGACTTGTTCCATGTAGAGTTGCCACAAACTTTCAACTTGTAAAAAATTCAATATTTGTGAAGCACAATTGTGTGGAAAAACACAAACTGATTTTCCTCTGCTGTCGTACCACATCAATCAACACTGAAGATTTCTGTGACCCAGTGTGTAGGTTTTTTTCCTTATGCACCAAGCAATCAATTCTGCGGTAGACACCCGCTGAGTGTCCTGTAATTCAATTCAGTTCTGACACTACCTGGAGATAGTGTCTGATCCCACAACTTGAGCACTCCATCCCCAAGCCTGATCCCTACTCCCGATACCAATTGCAAGCCCCAGGTTGTTTGACCTGTGCTTCTGGCTGTCTATAAATTAGGGATCCCACAGCTCACTCCTTGGGTTTAATTTGTGAGAGTGACTCAGAGAACTCGGGGAAACATGCTTACCAATTTATTGTAAAGATACTACAAAGGATACAGAAGAAGGGATGCACAGGCATGTGGGAAGAGGTTCCCTCCAGGAACTGCAGATGTTCAGCTACCCAGAAGCTCTTCCGTATTTCATCCTCTTCAGCCTTTCCTGGAAACTTCATTGTATAGGCATGAAGCATGGCCAACTGTGTAGACATGTGACAAAACAAAAAGGGTATGATCTAATACTAATAGACTGAGTGGAGAAACCCATCAAAATCTGTCTATCCATATTTTTCTTGTCCTCTCTCTGCAGCATTGTTCCTCCAGGGTACAGGGCACGACTTCTTAAATTAGAGTCTTATGACCTACAAATCAGACTAGGTAGGTCAGAGAATTTCTTTATGGCCAGCTCCAAGAAAAAAAAGGTAGGGGAAGATGTCTGCTTTGGGGAGAAAAAGGAGCAAATGAAAGAAGGATAGGAGAAGGTCAGATAGAGAGAGAAAGAGAAAGAGAGAGATTGTATTTTCTGAGACCTTCTGAAACCTTAAGGGTCCCAACATTTTAACAAGAACTAAAGGAGTTATGGAGTTATGAGCCAGGAACTGTAGACAAGTATCAGAGCAATAAAGAGAAGTACACATAAAACAATGTCTGTCTGTGATATTATGTAGTATTTGTCTTTCTGTGTCTGACCTTTTTCACTTAGCATAATTGTCCTCTGTCCTCCATCATTTTATGTTGAGGATTATCATCTCTGTTGGAGTCAACCGTTGATAAAATTCCCCTCCCTTCATATTATCATGAAGTTCTAAACATTTCTCTTCTACTCATGGCATTGTTCTTTGTTATCCTATAGATTTATACTGTATATCTTCTATTATGTTAGTGTGATTGGGGAAAGATGAAAGATGAACATATATGATCATTTCGTCTTCCATTTTCACCATAGCATTCGGATATTTGTGGCATTCCATCAAATGTTAGTTTTTCAACTTCAAAATACTTATATCCTTTTCTCTCACAATTATATAGGAGGCAGTAAATGACACCTATGCCAGTATTATTTTTTAATCTTTGAAAAGAGTCATATTGATTTAACTATTGGACAAATACTGCTTGGGCTATGCTTACTTGTTTACTACTGAATTAACATAGGGTTGAAGGTGATTGACAGATATATTTCTGATTCTGAAGTCATATTTACTCAAATGATACCAACCTGAATTGCTTTCGAGATGCTCTTCTCATTAGGTTTCCTGAGATTGACTGTTGACATGAGGTCTAAAATTCTCTCAAGGTTTCTTCTCTTTTATTAAAGGTGAAGTTGGTAAATCGGGCATTTAAGAATAGCACATCAGGCTTCCACATTTTCCTAATTTTTTATTTTGTTTTAACCAATTTTAATAATTGGACATCATACTAGTGTGCTTTTATTCATGTAATTGCAATTTTCTCTATACTGATGAGAAAACTACTGGTTCTAGAAACTAAATATTTTTTCCTAATTCAACGGGGTAAATAATTAGCAAATCCAGAATTCAAAATCCAAATTTCTTGTTTCCTTTCCTATGTTATGCTGTGCTAAACAGGGTTTTTTTTTTTTTTTTCTTTTTCCCAAAGTGATTTGGTCAGCTACTAGCATCACTTCTGAGAATGTTTTTCTGGTCTGTGAGTTTCTAGGCCAAGTAGAGAATTCAATCTTTGATATTTAGAGATATATGCCTCATTGTAACATGGTAAGGACTGTGGATATATTCTTCCAAACATTAACTTTGTAAATTTCTGAATTGACCAGTAAATATAGCACACAACATGGTACCTCCTATAATAAAATCAACTATAAGAGTGGAGAGGGAAATAATTATCTACCATGTGAACTGATGACTTGCAGTCATAAATGTGAAAAATAGCTACAGATAGTTTCTGAAAATTTGATTGAAAATAAATTTCTGTGTGTACAGGTATGTGTGTGCATGATTTCAATGTAGGACAAATTCGTATGGTTGAATTATAACACTTGGGAATCCTGAGTTTGTGTTGCTTTTACATTGCCTGGCTTATATCACTGTGTTTCAACTTCCTATTGAATAGTAAAATGTTTATTGCAATATGCCATAGTAAAAACTTATTTACATTCTTAACATATGAGTTTACTTCACATTGTGACAGGAGAAAGAGAAGACATAAAGATGTATTATTTACCCATGCCACTGTTAACCAGAAAGCAAAATAAATGAAGAGGTGAAAAAAAAATCTCACGGAGTACAAGTAGATCATCTGATCTTTTTACTTAAGTAAAAATGATGGGTACCTGTTTCATAAATATGATTAAAATGGTTATATGGTAAAGTATGCATGACTATCCCTTCCAAGTAAGCATATGGATATCAAACAAAAAAGGGTCATTATAGGTAAATGAATTATCTGTAGTCAAACATATTATCTTCTCCCTGTTTCGTACATTGTCATAGCAACGATTGACTTCATATGGCCTGACTCAGCTACTCAGCAACCAAAGAGAAAAAAAATGTTCTGTTTCCTGTAATCTGCTGCTAGAGGTGATACCTTTAGATGGTGCAGTAATAAGAGATGATGCTTAAACCTACCGGATTTTCTTTCGTGATTGCAGCAAAATTAATAATTATCTACTGGATACAGGGCAGTTGTCATTTTGAGTTTTGGGTGGTAATATCTATAGGTGAGGAACAGAAGTGTTTCAAGAATGTTCAGTGATTATTGGTAAAAATGGAGACAGGACAACCTTTCAATAGTTATTTGTCCAAACATTTTTTGTGTGTATCTTAGAAATGAGCAAAGACTTACATAATATGAGATTTCTGAACAAATATTTTACGAATGCCTAAAACTCAATTCCACTTTTCTGTATCCTTCTATTTTACAACATTCTTCAGTCTTTCCTTATACTGAGCTAGTTATTTTTATGTGAAACGAATTTATAAATTTTTTTTTTGCTAAAATAAGAAGGGAAAAAAGTGCATTTATTTCCAACTGAGAGTGTTGAGGATCTGGTGTTGGTGTTCTCCTAAATATCATAGTAATGGAATAGCAAACATTTGCTGGCCATAGATTTATATACTTTTCTATGTGGACTGTGTGGAAGAGATATAATTTATGTTGCATAAAATCACAAGTAAGATTTTATTTTTGTATGGGCTTGTGCAGACTGAAAAAGAACAACAAATAAGCCGTTAAAGAATTAACTTAAAATGTCACTCAGTTCTAATTTCAGTTTCAGTTTTAGTTTCTAATTCTGAATAAAATGGGTTTAGATGTCTGGTTTTTCAAGTGAATTTTACTAAGTAGACCACACGGCCATTATCAGCAGAGCCTGAAGGTGGTCCCTTACCTAGGAAAAGATAAGGAAAAGCCATCTTTTTTGTTTTGTTTTGTTTTTTAATTTCTCATTTCACTATTATAGCTATATTTCTCATTTTATCTAGAAAATAACCACTTATGAATATGAATATCTTTTTCTGTAGGGAATACAACTGAGTAGAAACAGAAATCTGAGAGTAACATATGGATCACATCTATGTGATGTGTGCACCACTGGTAACTTGTCCTCTGCCCATGGTCGTCCTAATATGTATACAGAGGTACTGTACCTCTAAGTCCAGGTTTCACCTAACAATTTAACAGAGCAGTACTGGGAGCCACTTCTGAGATTTTCCTACAAAACCATTATATTTTATTTTCATTTAATTTAATTTAATAGAAAATAGCTAGGAAGGGGAGTTAAACACTTTAAAAATCTGAAATGTGGTCAACCCTTCCCTTCCCTCCACGCTACTGTCTTGATTATATTTTCAGTCTTTCACCTCATTCAGGTGATTTCATTTATCATTTAAAGATTATCTTAAAGACAAAGATTTAGCCACTTCACTGTTTTCTGTTTCAGTTGTGTCATCTCTCAGTTCTGCATTTCAAGAATACTGAATCAGATTTGTAGAACATCAAATGCTTGGAGCTCTTTGGAAAAATGACCCTATGTTAATACAAAGTGTTGCTTTGTATTAACTTTCAAAAAATGACTCAGTCCCTATGAGTCATAGTTTCTCCTCTATAAATTTGAAATGTTGGAAGTCACAGTATTGATCTTGGCTTAAGTACTGGTCCTGAATTTATCAAACTCGTTGTAAAATGAGTTAAAAGTGAGGCTGAGCGCAGGGCCAAAACAAGGCTGAGACAAAACATTCTTCCTTTAACTTGTCTGTGTTTCCCAGAGAATGTGTTCTCATTATTTTGTCTGCTGTTTTGTACCTTTGGACATTCCACCAATGATGAAATTCAGACAGGTAATTGCAACATTCCTCATATCATCTTCTAAAGATTAAATGTCTCCTCGCTTGTGTTTTTTTCATTTTATTTGGCATTATATTTTATTGCATTTAGATAATCAGCAGAACTTGGTGCCTGTCTCTTTATTTATGAAATGGGGAAAGAGTATCTCCTTTATGTTGCTATTGTTGTGTTAAATATAATAGCATATATTTAAAACGTGGAAAGGCATGAATGGTGAATAGTCAATAAGTGCTAGTTTCCTCCCTGTTCTCCAGCCCCTAGATATGGGAAATATTTCTTTGCAGTAAGTTGATCTGTGCTTACTGCATTAGTTAACAATTGTTATGTTACAAAGCATTCCAAACTCCTTAAATAATCAACATTTTAAACATTTCTCGTGAAGATAGAGCCATGTTGCTCTGCTAATCTTGGCTAGGTTTGGCTCATCTCACAGAGGCCTGATCATGTCATGAATAATTATCCAGCTAAGGGAGACTAGGCTTAGAGTGGTTTTTAATACCTCCTATCCCTTCAGCAGCCCAATCCCTTCAGTGGGGTATCTAAGAGCAAACAGTCTCAACTGTGGAAGATGACAAGGAAAAATGAGCATATACTTTTCAAGGTTGGATATTGCTAATATCTCAGTGGTTAAAGTAAGTCACATGACTGAACCCAAAATCAGAGCATGGAGGGACTGTATAATTTCAGGAAAAAAAGCATGGATAATTAGGACCATTGGTACAATCGACTTATTACCTCTACAAAGTTTCTTGCAGACCCTTGTAATTAGTCAAGGTTTAGTCAGAGAAGCAGAATACCCACAGATCGTCAAGTGGTATTGAATGATTTACTTTAAGAGTTAAACCTTATGCAATTGCGGGACTGACCTATTAGAGCAGGCTGTGTACCCTCTGTCTTGTGTTGATTCTGAAGCTGTTTTGGTCATCCAGAGTGCTACTCTAAAGAAAACCAGGATGTGTAAAGTCAATAACTAGAGCTCATGACAACAACTGGGACCTATGTCTGTCTCTCACCATCTCTAACCTTGGTGCAGTGACTGGTTACCTGGAGGGAAAGGTTATGTCCTTCACTGTAAGTTACACATATCCTTAACCCAATAATAAAATAAACTGAAGGGGAGGATTTAGGTGGGAGCTTCAGGAAATACTGCCCTAGTTCATTGCTGAGCTGCTACACTGCCTGATGCTCTGTATCAAGCTTTAAAGTATAAAAATGTATGACTATTTCTTCACTTCTGTCTTCTAAATTGCATGCAAATGTCTCCTGTGGCGAAAACGAATCTAGAGCTGTACAGGGAGGAGAATTCTGAGAAATGTGTTTTAAGCTTGGTCTCCTCTGCTGTTTTGTTAAAATCTCTTTTTGTCTCATATCACTTTATACTGATTATGCTGAACTGGTGTTTTTAAAGGGTCTCACATTCAACTTCTCTCCCTAAAAGAGTTAAGATTCCTAGCTATTCAACTCAGTATGGCAGAAGGGATGTAAAAAAAAAATCCAGCATCTCAATATTTGGCATTTTTTAGCTAATTTCCCATCTCATAATTTGTGATAAAATACCTCTGTGATCTCCACTTTGCTTCTACATAAGAAAAAGTTTATATCATGCTTTGCCATCCTCCATAATAAAAGATGCTTTCATAAATGCAAAGAGAATGAAAATTTAATTTGTAAAATAATGACTGTAACTGTAAGTAACCAAGGGGACAGATAAACCAACCAAGTATATTAGGAATCTGTTATCATTTAAGAGAGGAAATTACTGCAATGCCTGAATAATTGTTAGTGAATTAATACAAAATTTTAGTGAACCTCAATTGACTTCAGTGTAAAGTCCCACAATTGGATATGTAGAGCTAATTATCAAAGGGGAAATCATAGACTTTCTACCTTAAAGCAACCAATTATCTAATGGTATTTATTACTGTTTCTTTGTTTCTTATTAAATATTTTACTATAGAAATAACCATGACTAGCCAGTTCAGAAAAAAAGATCAGACCTCTATATGTGTGTGTGTGTGTGTGTGTGTGTGTGTGTGTGTGTGTATATATTTGTATGATCTCTATCTATACTGCAATGAAAATTTTTGGCTTGAGAAAGAGAAATTCCTACTGTTAATTGGTACAGGGAAATCAAAATCATGATATGAGCAAATAATACGGAGAAAAAAGTGCAAATAGAATTGTTAATGAAGGTGAGATTTAAGAAAAGTTAATTTTAAAGGTAATATCTTATTTATGGATAGTTGCTATAGGGGTAGTACAGAAAGAAAGAACTTGATTTCTTCTTATTTCTTTTCATCACGATACGTGCTACATGATGATATAGCAGGATAGAATATGGATGGCTATTTTGTTGCTGTTTATCATTTCCAATTGTGGTAAAAACTCATTAAATTTAGTTAACTACCTTGACCATTTTTAAGTGTGTAATTCAGTGGTGTTAACTGTATTCACTGTGTCGTACAATAGATGTCTAGACTTTTTTATCTTGCAAAACTGAAAGTCTAAATGTCTTGAACACTTCCCCATTTCCCCCTCCCTTCAGCCTCTAGCAACTATCTTTCTTTCATTTTCTATGACTTTAACTACTTTAGATAGTTCATATGAGTAGAATCAAACAGTATTTGTCTTTTTCTGATGGCTTATTTCACCTAGCATAATGTCCTCTAGATTCATCCATGTTGTAGCATGTAATAGAATTTCCCATTTCTAAGGCTGAATAATATTCAGTGGGATATATACCACACTTTCTTTATCTATTCATCCATTGATGAATGTTTGAGTTGCTTCCACTTCTTGGCTATTGTAAATAATGCTGAAATGACCATGGATGTGCACGTATCGCTTTGAGATCCTGCTTTTATTTTTTTGGATATATAACAAGAAGTGGGATTGATGAGTCATTTGGTAATTCTATTTCTAACAATTTTTAAGGAAAACTTCATAGTATTTTCTATGTGGCTTAATTATTTTACATTTTCACCAACAGTGCACAAATGTTCTAATTTTTCCACATTCTGACCATCATTTGGTATTTTCTGGGGTTTCCATTACTGATGTTTGTTTTGTTTTGTCTTTATGATAGTGAGCGTCCTAATGGTGTGAAGTGATATCTCACTGTGGTTTTGATTTGCATTTCTCTAATGATTAATGATGTTGAGCATCTTTTCATTTGCTTGTTTGGCCATTTGTGTACCCTTTTTGGAGAAATGTCTATTGAAGTCCTTTTTCTATTTTTAAAAATCAGGTCATTTGTTTTGTTGCTGTTGTTGTAGATTTGTAGAAATTCTTAGATATTCTAAATATAGCCCCCTTGTTATGGTTTGGCTGTGTCCCCACCTAAATCTCATCTTGAATTATAACTCCTACAATTCCCACATGTCCTGGGAGGCACCCAGGGGGAGGTAATTTAATTATGGGGGTAGGTCTTCCCTGCTCTGTTCTCATAATAGTGAATGAGTCTCATGAGATCTGATGGTTTTAAAAATGGGAGTTTCCCTGCACAAGCTCTCTTTTTTCTAGCTGCCATCCATGTAAGACACAATTTGCTCCTCCTTGCCTTCTGCTGTGATTGTGAGGCTTCCCCAGCCATGTGGAATTGTAAGGCCGTTAAACACTTTTTCCTGTATAAATTACCTAGTCTCGGGTATGTCTTTATCAGCAGCATGAAAATAAACTAATACAGTAAATTGGTACCAGGAGTGGAGTATTGCTGAAAAGATACCCCAAAATGTGGAAGTGACTTTGGAACTGGGCAACAGGCAGAGGCTGGAACAGTTTTCAGGGCTCAGAAGAAGATAGGAAAATGTGGGAATGTTTACAACTTCCTAGAGACTTGTTGAATGGCTTCAGCAAGAATGCTGATGATGTGAACAATAAAGTCCAGGCTGAGGTGGTCTCATATGGAGATGAGGAACTTGGGAACTGGAGCAGAGGTGACCCTTGTGTTTTAGCAAAGAGACTGGCGGCATTTTTCCCCTGCCCTAGAGATTTGTGGAACTTTGGACTTGAGAGAGATGATTTAGGGTATCCGGCAGAAGAAATTTCTAAGCAGGAAAGCATTCAAGAGGTGACTTGAGTGCTGTTAAAAGCATTCAGTTTTATAAGGGAAGCAGAGCATGAAAGTTCTGAAAATTTCCAGCCTGACAATGCAATAGAAAAGAAAAACCCATTTTCTGAGGAGAAATTCAAGCTGGCTGCAGAAATTTGCATAACTAATGAGGAGCTGAATGTTAATCCCCAAGACAATGGGGAAAATGTCTCCAGGATATGTCAGAGATCTACATGGCAGCCCCTGTCATCGCAAGCTGACGTAGGAGAAAAAAATGGTTTTGTGGGCCAGGCCCAGGGTCCCCTTGCTGTATGCAGTCTAGGGCCCTGGTGCCCTGTTTCCCAGCTGCTCCTGCCATGACTAAGAGGGGCAAAGGTACAGCTTGGGCTATGGCTTCAGATGGTTCAAGCCTCAAGCCATGGCAGCTTCCATATGGTGTTGAGCCTGTGGGTTCACAAAGGTCAAAAATTGAAGTTTTGGAACCTCTACTTAAATTTCAGAGGATGTATGGAAATGCCTGGATGTCCAGGCAGAAGTTTGCTGCAGGGGAGGAAGTCTCATGGAGAACCTCTGCTATGGTGGCGTGGAAGGGAAAAGTGGGGTTGGAGCCCGCACACAGAGTCCCTACTGGGGAACTGCCTAGTGGAGCTGTGAGAAGAGGCCCACCAGCCTCCAGACCTTAGAATGGAATATCCACCAACAGCTTGCACTGTGTGTCTAGAAAAGGCAGAGACACTCAACGCCAGCCCATGAAAGCAGCTAGGAGGGAGGCTGTACCCTGCAGAGCCACAGGGGTGAAGCTGCCTAAGACCATGGGGATCCACCTCTTGTATCAGTGTGACCTGGAAGTGTGACATGAAGTCAAAGGAGATCATTTTGGAACTTTAAGATTTGACTGCCCTGATCAGTTTTGGACTTGCGTGGTGCCTGTAGCCCCTTTGTTTTGGCCAATTACTCCCATTTGAAATGGCTATATTTACCTAATGCCTGTACCCCCATTTTATCTAGGAAGTAATTAAATTGCTTTTTATTTTTCAGGCTGATAAGTGGAAAGGACTTGCCTTATCTCCGATGACACACGGGACTGTGGGCTTTTGAGTTAATGGTGAAATGAGTTAAGACTTTGGGGGACTTTTGGGAAGGCATGATTGGTTTTGAAATGTGAGGACATGAGATTTGGGAGGGGTCAGGGGCAGAATGATATGGTTTGGCTGTATCTGCACCCAATCACATCTTTAATTGTAACTCCCACAATTCCCATGTGTCATGGGTGGAACCTGATGGGAGGTGATTTAATTGTGGGGGCAGGTCTTTCCTGCACTGTTCTCATGATAATAAGTGAGTCTCAGAAGATTTGATGGTTTTTAAAATGGGAGTTTCCCTGCACAAGCTCTCTTTTTCCCTGCGGCCATTCATGTAAGACATGACTTGCTCCTCCTTGCCTTCCACCATGCTTGTGAGGCTTCCCCAGCCACATGGAGCTGTAAGTCCCTTAAACTCTTTTTCCCGTATAAATTACCAAGTCTCGGGTATGTTTGTATCAGCACTGTGAAAATGGACTAATACACCCCTTATCAGCTATCTGATTTTCAAATATTTTCTCCAATTCTGTTGGTTGCATTTCACTGTTTATTTTTTCCTTTGATGTACAGAAGATTTTAAGTTTTATGTAGTTCCACTTATCTAACCTTGCTTTTGTTGCCAATGCTTTTGGTGTTATGTACAAGAAATCATTGCCAAATCCAAAATCACAAACCTTCTTCTCTATGTTTATTTCTAGATTTTTATAGTTTAAAATTTGACATTTACATTTTTCTTTAATTCATTTTGAATTTTTGCATATGGTATAAAATAAGGGTCCAACCTCATTCTTTTGCATATGAATATCTAGTTTTCCCAATACCATTTTTTGAAGAGGCATTCCCTCTTGTGTGGTGTTGGCATGCTTGTTAAAGATTATTTTACCATATATGTGAGGGTTTATTTCCAGGCTCTCTCTGCATTCCATGGGTCTATATGTCTGTCTTTATGCCAGTACCACCACACTGTTTTGATTAGGCAATATTGTTATAAGTTAAGTGTCATTGAGATTTTAATAGAGACTACATTGAATCTGTAGATTGCTTTGGGTACATTTAATAATGAGTCTTTCAGTCCATGAAAATCAGGTGTCTTTGGATTTATTTGTATCTTTAATTTCTTTTAGTAATATTCTGTAGTTTTCATTGTACAAGTCTTTGCCTCTTTGGTCAAGTTTATGCTTAAGAATTTTATTTTTTGATGATATTATAAATGAAATTGCTTTCTTAATTTTCTTTTGGCGTTGTTTATTGTTAGCATGTATAGAAACACAACTATTTTGTGTGTGATAATTTTGTATCCTGTAAATTTGCTGAGTTTGTTTATTAGTTCTAACAATTTTCTGTGGACTCTTTAGTGTTTCCTACCTGTAAGATCATGTCATCCAGAAGCAGGGATAACTTTGTTTCCTCTTTTACAATTTGGTACCTTTTATTTATTTTTCTTGACCAGTTGCTCTGGCAAGAGCCATCAGTACTGGTTTATATAAGTGGTGACAGTAAAAACCATTGACTTTTTCCTAATTTTAGAGGAACATGGCTCTAAATTGAACACATTCCTAAGTTAAACACATTCCTTTCTCAAGAATGGTCAACATGACTATGTGTTTAATTTAGGCAACAGGTGGCGGGTGTGTTCATTGTCTGTTATATGCTCTCATACAATGTTCTGGGATCTCTATTTCACTGTTTTGGCTGTGACCTTTAGTTGTTTTTCTTCTTTTCAACACCTCTGTCCGATGTACCTTCTTATTCCAGGGTTTTTGAGACATTAAATTTATTCCCAGTGATTTACTTTTTTCTGGCTTCCCATAGCCCATGAACACCCATGTAACAGTATTCTGTCTTAAGCACTATTATTTTATTATGTTTGTATTTTTTTAACCCTTATTTTAGGTTCAGGGGTACCTGTGCAGGTTTGATATATAGGTAAATTACATGTCACAGGGGTTTGTTGTACAGATTATTTTGTTACCCAAGTAATAAGCATAGTACTTGATAGGTAGTTGTTTGATTTTTATCCTCCACCCTCAAATAGGCCCTGGCCTCAAATATTCATTCCTTTATGTCCGTGTGCATTTTATTTGTTTAGATTTTGTGGTTTGATAAAGTATTTTCTCCATTTTCTTACTCTAATATGATCTTACTAGGGACCTGTATATGATACATTTCATCTTCACTAGTCTTTAATTTTTTGTTAAGTAGAAAATTTTCTGGAACTGTACATTCATTGACTTTACTTACTGTCACTGACTTTACTCAGACCACTTTATAGTATTACTGTGGAGACAAAAGTAGTAGTTTGCTATTTTTTCATTGATCGGAAGAAGCGTATATATGGTTGCTTTTTATATGCTCTGTACTGTAGTCAGTATTGTGGCAGAGATCATGGCAGACTCTCTAGGATGTTTCATAAGATATCTACTATATTTCCAGTCTCCTTATTCTTTATGCCTCTACTGTACAGGCAGGGGAAATAATGCATCAACACATTTTTTAGCTCATATATATTGTCAAGTGGTCTTTGACAAAGATGCCAAGACCACAAAATTGGAAAAAGACACTATCTTCAAAGAATGGTTTTTGGGTAGGCTGGATTTTCCAATACAAAAAAAAATAAGTGGGGCAAGGGACAGATTTTGACATTCTAATTTTAAAAAATGGACAGATATGGTTGATACTGCCCTCTCTCCTTCATTGAATAAAGTTATGGTGGGTGGACCCATAGTAGCCACCTTGTAAGCACAAGAAAAAGACTAAGAGAACAACGACAAAAAATGGCCTTGACAAGCTAAACAAATACCAGGAGTTCCCTAGATTCACATATCTGGTGAGAAAGGTAAATTTCTACATGTTTAGTCCGTTTTAACTATTCTGTTACTCGTAGCTGATTGTTATACTAAATTTTATATATATATAATATATATATGTACATGTGTATATATGTGTGTATATATGTTGAGATGCTTCACAATATATATGTATGTATATGTGTATATATACACATATGTATATTATATATGTGTGTATATATGTGTATGTGTATATATGCGTATATGCATATATGTATGTGTCTATATGCGTATATGCATATATGTATGTGTCTATATGCGTATATGCATATATGTATGTGTCTGCGTAATGCATATATGTATGTGTCTGCATATATGCATATATGTATGTGTCTATGCGTATATGCATATATGTATGTTTCTATATGCGTATATGCATATATGTATGTGTATATATGTGTATATACATAGGTGTATATGTGTATATATGTGTATATACATAGGTGTATATATGTGTATATATGTGTATATACACACATAGGTGTATATACGTGCGTATATACACACAGGTGTATATGCATACGTGCGTATATACACACAGGTGTATATGCATACGTGCGTATATACACACAGGTGTATATGCATACGTGCGTATATACACACAGGTGTATATGCATACGTGCGTATATACACACAGGTGTATATGCATACGTGCGTATATACACACAGGTGTATATACACATGTGTGTATATACATATATGTATGTGTATATGTATGCATATATGCATGTCTATATGTATGTGTATATGTGTGTATATATGCATGTCTATATACATATATATGCATGTATATATGTGTGTATATAAGTATGTGTATGTTTATATGTGTGTATATGTATATATACATATATGTATGTATATATACATATATGTATGTATATATGTATATATGTGTGTGTATGCACACATACATAGTTTAGATGCTTCTCAACTTATGATGGAGTTGTGTCCTGATAAACCCATCATAAGTTGAAATATCAGGAGTAAAAAATGCAGCCTAGAGAGCCTTTGGAGAAGAATCACTTATGCTTACTCTCTGAAACTTGTGGTCACATATCATCACATTTGCACCATCGTGTAGCTACAGAAAAATCACAAGTCATACCACTGTGAGTCAGGGACTCTCTGTACATGCACATAAACATTAAATCATATAAAGTAGGGGATTTATGTAACCAATGAAAACCACGCGGAGTTCAAATAGGTTAGAGTATTTGGGAAACACATAAAGGAAATGGGATTTGAGTGGGTCATGAAAGAAAGAAAAGAACCCCAAAATATAGTGGCCTAAAACAATTATTATATTCCTGTGATTCTAAAGATCAGGTATTTGGGTGGGGCTTAATAGGAATTGCTCATCTTTGCTCCACATGGTGTCACATGAAATGACTTCACTGGGGACCAGAGCATCCAAGATGGCCTCACTCATATGTCTGGTGCTTCATCTCGTATAACCAAAAATGCACTTGGCTTCTCCCTTTCTGGGTTGCCAAATAGGCTCAATCATGTCTGGGGATGTAGTTATTTTCCATGTGGTCTCCTTCCTCTTATTTTCCAGGGGTCTTTATCTGTGGCTATATAACCTAAACTTCTTTATATGGCAGCTGCCATTCTATAGGACAAAAACAGGAGCTGTAGGGTCTTCCATTTCCAAGAACCAGAAATTGAGATAATTAATATAAATTGCCTAAAACCATGTCTCACACGCATCAGAAACCCAAATTGTAGTAGGTCTTTTTGTTTACTTCAATAGGTGGGATTCAGACAGTGTGTTAGCATTGTGGAAATTCAGCAAGTGGAGGTGACACAGAATACAGCACGTAGGTAATAACTAATATGCAGCTGCTAGACAGACTATGGTCAGCATGAAGGAGGACAGAATGAAGGTGGTGAGCAAACTTAAGGAGAGTTGCTTATTAGACTGAGATATATATTTTTGCCTTTGTGTGGAAAGGAAAAGATTTCCACTTATTTGCTATTGAAAAGTGAAATCAGCACAGGACTATAAGCGGTGTTTCCTGGTGCTGAGATACCTAAGTACTCACATTGAGATTTTTAAGTTAGTCTAAAGTCTTTTATTATTATTATTATTATTATTATACTTTAAGTTTTAGGGTACATGTACACAATGTGCAGGTTAGTTAGATATGTGTACATGTGCCATGCTGGTGTGCTGCACCCATTAACTCGTCATTTAGCATTAGGTATATCTCCTAATGCTATCCCTCCCCCCTCCCCCCACCCCACAACAGTCCCCAGAGTGTGATGTTCCCCTTCCTGTGTCCATGTGTTCTCATTGTTCAATTCCCACCTATGAATGAGAACATGTGGTGTTTGCTTTTTTGTCCTTGCGATATTTTACTGAGAATGATGATTTCCAATTTCATCCATGTCCCTACAAAGGACACGAACTCATCATTTTTTATGGCTGCATAGTATTCCATGGTGTATATGTGCCACATTTTCTTAATCCAGTCTATCATTGTTGGACACTTGGGTTGGTTCCAAGTCTTTGCTATTGTGAATAGTGCCGCAATAAACACACGTGTGCATGTGTCTTTATAGCAGCATGATTTATAGTCCTTTGGGTATATACCCAGTAATGGGATGGCTGGGTCAAATGGTACTTCTAGTTCTAGATCCCTGAGGAATCGCCACACTGACTTCCACAATGGTTGAACTAGTTTCCAGTCCCACCAACAGTGTAAAAGTGTTCCTATTTCTCCACATCCTCTCCAGCATCTGTTGTTTCCTGACTTTTTAATGATTGCCATTCTAACTGGTGTGAGATGGTATCTCATTGTGGTTTTGATTTGCATTTCTCTGATGGCCAGTGATGGTGAGCATTTTTTCATGTGTTTTTTGGCTGCATACATGTCTTCTTTTGAGAAGTGTGTGTTCATGTCCTTCGCCCACTTTTTGATGTGGTTGTTTGTTTTTTTCTTCTAAATTTGTTTGAGTTCATTGTAGATTCTGGATACTAGCCCTTTGTCAGATGAGTAGGTTGCGAAAATTTTCTCCCATTTTTTAGGTTGCCCATTCACTCTGATGGTAGTTTCTTTTGCTGTGCAGAAGCTCTTTAGTTTAATTAGATCCCATTTGTCAATTTTGGCTTTTGTTGCCATTGCTTTTGGTGTTTTAGACATGAAGTCCTTGCCCATGCCTATGTCCTGAATGGTATTGCCTAGGTTTTCTTCTAGGGTTTTTATGGTTTTAGGTCTAACATTTAAGTCTTTAATCCATCTTGAATTAATTTTTGTATAAGGCGTAAGGAAGGGATCCAGTTTCAGCTTTCTACTTATGGCTAGCCAGTTTTCCCAGCACCATTTATTAACTAGGGAATCCTTTCCCCCTTGCTTGTTTTTCTCAGGTTTGTCAAAGATCAGATAGTTGTAGATATGCGGCATTATTTCTGAGGGCTCTGTTCTGTTCCATTGATCTATATCTCTGTTTTGGTACAAGTACCATGCTGTTTTGGTTACTGTAGCCTTGTATTATAGTTTGAAGTCAGGTAGCCACGATGCCTCCAGCTTTGTTCTTTTGGCTTAGGATTGACTTGGCGATGCGGGCTCTTTTTTGGTTCCATATGAACTTTAAAGTAGTTTTTTCCAATTCTGTGAAGAAAGTCATTGGTAGCTTGATGGGGATGGCATTGAATCTATAAATTACCTTGGGCAGTATGGCCATTTTCATGATATTGATTCCTCCTACCCATGAGCATGGAATGTTCTTCCATTTCTTTGTATCCTCTTTTATTTCCTTGAGCAGTGGTTTGTAGTTCTCCTTGAAGAGGTCCTTCACGTCCCTTGTAAGTTGGATTCCTAGGTATTTTATTCTCTTTGAAGCAATTGTGAATGGGAGTTCACTCATGATTTGGCTCTCTGTTTGTCTGTTATTGGTGTATAAGAATGCTTGTGATTTTTGCACATTGATTTTGTATCCTGAGACTCTGCTGAAGTTGCTTATCAGCTTAAGGAGATTTTGGGCTGAGACAATGGGGTTTTCTAGATATACAATCATGTCATCTGCAAACAGGGACAATTTGACTTCCTCTTTTCCTAATTGAATACCCTTTATTTCCTTCTCCTGCCTAATTGCCCTGGCCAGAACTTCCAACACTATGTTGAATAGGAGTGGTGAGAGAGGGCATCCCTGTCTTGTGCCAGTTTTCAAAGGGAGAGCTTCCACTTTTTGCCCATTCAGTATGATATTGGCTGTGGGTTTGTCCTAGATAGCTCTTATTATTTTGAGATACGTCCCATCAATCCCTAATTTATTGAGAGTTTTTAGCATGAAGCGTTGTTGAATTTTGTCAAAGGCCTTTTCTGCATCTGTTGAGATAATCATGTGGGTTTTGTCTTTGGTTCTGTTTATATGCTGGATTACATTTAGTCTAAAATCTTGATTGATTTCAGAGTCTGAATCAATCAGACTCGAAATGCGGTCTGAAAACCAAGACACACCTCGAGAATTTATTAAAATAAAGATTCATTGACCTCAATCCAGATGTGCCTTCATGTCCTTGTTTACTCTCTGTGCCTTAGAATCTGCTGTGGCTTAACATCAGCTTAGCAAAATAGATTTATGGATTATACTATCAGGTTTTGATTAAACTAACTTTCCCAAAATAAGTCTGTGCAAAGAAACCCTTGGGGAAGATGGAAGGGAAGAAAAATATCACACAATTAAACAGAAGGAAAATGGCAGAGATGGTACTTCTACTCCTAGTATAAGAGCCCTTTCAAGCCAAGGGAGGAATAAATGAGATGTTAATATAATCAAGCATGGTATAGGCTGTCACACTGCATGATCACAATGTGCTCACCAACTGTAAGGACAAGAAACCATGTGCTATTAATATACAAATCTCAAATACATATTTATCTCATTCTTTAAAATTTCTATATTTCTTTGCTCTTTTTACTTTTTTGTAATGGAATATTAAGTAGTAAATGTATATAATTTATATGTAAATATAAATAGATGAGTTGTAAGATTAGACCTAATCAAAACTGAAGCACAAGACCTTACAGTAAAGAACTAGGCATGTCATTACCTATCTTGCTATTAAAATATTCACATGAAAAGTTAAATATAGCATCATATATTTGGATAACATCTCGATGCCCAAAATGTGCCTTTCTGGAAATATCCCAGTATAGTTGTGCTATTTAAAATGCTACTATAGGTTTGTACATTTTATGCCATGGTCGTAAGGGAGACAAAGAACTATCCTCTGAGTTTTTGATCTTACAAGCAAACCATATCTTATTTTGATTTTGAGAAAGTTTGCACTGACTCTTCTGTCACAACAGCCAAGTGCACAGTCTGCTAAGTAAGTGATCTGTACATTTGTAGTTCTTTACTGAATAATTATGAATAAAAGTAATTTTGCTGTTTGAAACAGAATTGGATTGTGATAGTTCCAGTATAACTTTTAATAACACTATCTATATAAAGTGTGCATTGTTAACATAAAAAATCTAATGTACTTTTATTGGAATTTTTATTGAATTAACATTATGGACTTTAAACAAATGCCCTAATTAGGTAAACTATCTAATGGGAATATTGCCTAAATTAAAATCAAGAAAAATGTTGAATAGGCTCACTAATCCTCGGGAGAAATTTGGAATGCTCCTGCCATACTTTTATGAAAATTTTGGTGTTTCCTGATCTATTTAAACCAAATTTGTTGCTTTCTTATTGAATACTGTCTACTGTTTATTTTCTCTTGAGTAAAGTGACATAACCTATAGAGATAATAGAGATATAAAAGGAATCCTGGAGAGGTAATGACTGTGAAATGAAATGTTTGTTATTCTCTAAACTTGTTGTAATTTCTTTGCAAACAACCACAAAGATCTGAATATCTTTGTGTGTTGAATGACGTCCACTGTGGAGTATGTAGATGTACATTGCATGTTTGACAAATTTAATCGGAAATTTTACTTCTCATAGAATAAACTAGTGTGTTTGAAAGTTTCTTAATATGGATATGGATATGTATACAATTATCTCAACTTTGTTTGGCTCTACACAGTGATAAATCAGTCAGCAAGCAGCAGAGCAGCAGAGTGTAACAGGATGATGAGTGATTAGGGAATTATATTATTTGAGGAATGGTTACTGGAGGGAATGGGACTGTTTATTTTATAGAAGTAAGAAATCATGGGAAATTTTTATTTATCTTCAAAAATTAGAACAATTTTCCTGTAAGGGAGTAGTCTTTGTTCTTCCATTAGTCAAAGACTGATTTAAATACATTTCAGGAACACAAGTTTTAGCACAGTATAAGGAAAAGCTTTCTCACAATTAGCATGTAGCTGTGCTTTTTCACACAATTCAAGGGGTTACCACATTAATATAGTAAAATTGTCCCTGAAAATTTAGTACTTAAGCCGAGAGAATGATCATCTACTTATGTCTTAAACTATTTGCACTTCTGTAGCAAAATACTGTAAGCCAGATGACATAAACAACAGAAAAGCTCTGGAGGCTGAAAATTTTAAGGTCAAAGTGCAAGCAGACTTGGTATCTGGCGAAAGACTGTTTCCTGGTTCATTGATAGAGCCTTTTTGCTGTGTTCTCACAGAGTGGAAGGCAGTAGCAGGTGGCCACTTCTCTGGGATCTCTTTTACAAAGATACTACAGTAAGTCCTCACTTAGCATCATCCGTAGGTCCTTGGAAACTGCATCTTTAAGCAAAATGACGTATAATGAAATCAGTTTCCCACAGGCTAATTAATATAAAAAAGAGCTAAGTTCCTATAGCCTATTCCTGGTTACAAAACATCACCCAACTCCAAAATAAAGATCAAAATACTTCTAATATTAAGTATTGAAATAAATGTGAGCTAGACATTTATTTAAGAAGGTTAGTGAAAACAAGTAAGATGATTATCTACCCACTTCTTTTACCTGATGACTTAATGTGCCTTTGGCATGTGGTACAGAGCCAGAGTACCTGGAGAAAACCCAATGTTCTCATCAATGTTATAACAAAATAATATTGAGTGAATGGACATTATTCAAGGATCTGCTGTAATTCCATTCATCAAGGTAGAGCCCTAATAACCTAATCACCTCTCAAAGGCTGCACCTCTTAATACTGTCACATTGGTGATGTGGTTTCAATGCATTAATTTTGGGAGGACATAAGTGTTTAGACTAAAACAGCTTTGGTTCAGATAGGACTCGTGAACTGTGGGGGAAATTAGATTTGGCAACATCTAAAGTCTGTTTTAGTTTTAGAATCTGTTCTTTTACATATCTTTGCAGGATTTTCATGGCTTTAGGGAAAGCAAATCTCTTTGCAAGGGCAGTTTATTCTTCAGTTGGAGTTGGTAGGTGCAGTTACAATGTGTGTACTCTTTTGCTATATTCTAGTGAAGTTACATTTTCACTTCTGTGTATGTCAATTGGATGGAATATCCCTATATTAGTTAACCCATGTGGGTGCAATGAAGAGAGGCATTCTTGGATCCCTGAAGAAATGAGAATTTATTGGGAAAAAGAAGTCTTGTTTATGTAGCAAGCATTTGTGTAAACCTGAAAGTTCCTCCACAATCTCAGGGAGCTAAGATGTTGAGAAATATTAGGAGAAAGTTGTTCTTGTAATATGAGTATCTGGTTGATGTCTCATTCCCAGAACCTTTCTGATTTCAGTCTGTGCTCTCTCTTTGAGGTCATGGCTACTCTCTCTGATTCATGTTCTCTCTGTGTCCTTTGACTGTCAGTATCACTACTTTATATTCGTTTCAAATTCACACTCATCCAGAGAGAGGATCTGAATGACCAAGTTAGTCATCCTTTACTCCTTCCACCAGAGCTTTATCAACAGACCACCATAAAGAACTGGCCAACCTATGGTACAGATAGACTAACTTTGGACTGAAAAACGATGCAGACCAATCAGCCACTGTCATGGTAGCTGTGTCCTCTAGTACCAGCACAGCAAGTGATTGAGGCTTATCTCTTGGAGAGAAGCTTCAGAAATGGAAAGCATGCTGAGGCTGGGTGTTGCCAAGAATAATCTGTATCCTATATTAAAGTATTTGCATTTAAGTCTCATCTGTCTGCTGATATTATGCTCAGATATGAAGAGTAAGAGGGCTAATTTGTGATTATTTCCTCTTGACATCTAACAAGTAATCATGCAGGTATCATGCATATTCACCAAATAGGTTTAGAATGAATATATGGTTATTTAAATTATAAGCCCTAGAAGGTTTGATCAAATCAGGTAAACATGATTTTGAATGCCTCCTTTGTGTAAGGCAAAAAGTAGATTAGATTTTCTGTATTCTTACTATATTTCCACTTTAAAATTCAGATTCAACTTGTGTTAACTGAATATTAACTACAATATTGAAATATTTGGTTTGTACTTTCTATTCCAGAAAGAAGATGGCTTACAAAACCACATAAAATATTACAAATAACATACAATTAAAGCGAGAGAGAGGAAAATATGGATTGGTGCAAAGTGGACACAGGATTGAAAATGAAAATGGAATGAAAGTACAAAGTGTAGAATCATAAAGATATTTCTAAACGTGCTAGGAAAGCATACCAGTCAGACTACTCTTAGCTATGTGATCTAAACAAAACGGTTACGAGTCTAAAGTAAATATTCTCATAATTTAGAGCAGAGCTCTCAAAACTAGATCACATAATGATCTTCTCAACAACATCCTTCCGTTAGACGCAATGTGAGTTTCACCTCTTCCTTTTCCCACTCTAGGTAATTTTACATACATTATCTTTACAGTGGCACTTTAAGTATTC